>NC_000022.11:30073200-30224715 GCF_000001405.40 Homo sapiens
ACACTTGGCTAATTTTTGTATTTTTAGTAGAGACAGGGTTTCACCATGTTGGCCAGGCTGGTCTCAAACTCCTGACCTCAGGTGATCCACCAACCTTGGCCTCACAAAGTGCAGGGATTACAGGCATGAGCCACCACACCCAACCTATAACTTTTTTTAAAAGGGGAAAATGACGAAGCAAAGATATGGGAAAATTGGAACCCCTTATACGTTGCTGGTGAATGTAAAACAGTGTAGTTGCTTTGGAAAGAGTTTGACCATTTCTCAAAAAGGTAAACATAGAGTTACCATGTGACGCAGCAATTCTGCTCCCAGATATATATCCAAGAAAAATGAAAACATATATCCACACATAACCTTCTACATAAATGTTCATAGAAGTATTATTCTTCACAGCAAAAGGGTGAAAACCTAAATGTCCGTCAACTGATAGATGTACAAAATGTGGTAAACATGGGATACTTTTTAGCCATAAAAAGGAATACATGCTACAGCATGAATGAATATTATACTTTAGTTATTAAGTGAAAGAAGCCAGATACAAAAGGCCATAGTGTATGATTTCGTTTATATGAAATATCCAGAGTAGACAAATCCATAGAGACAGAAAGTAGATTAATGGTTGACAAGGAATAGGGGAGGAAGGAATGGGGGAATGACTGCTAATAAGCATGGGGCTTCTTTTGGGGGTGATGCAGGTGTTCTGGAATTAGACAGTGGTGATGGTTGCACAACTTTGTGAATCAGCATACTAAAATATGCTGATTTGTATATTTTAAAGTGGTGAATTTGATCTATATGTTTAATAAAATATACTGGTTTTTTTTTCCTTTTAAAGAGACAAGGTTTTGCTCTGTTGCCCAGACTGCAGTGCGGTGGCACAATCACAGCTCACTGCAGCCTCAACCTCCTGGGCTCTATCAATCCTTTTGCCTCAGCCTTCTGAGTAGCTGGGACTACAGGTGCATGCCACAATGCTCAGCTAATTTTTGTATTTTTTATAGAGACGGGGTTTCACCATGTTTCCCAGGCTGGTCTCAAACTCCTGGGCTCAGGCAATCCTCCCTCCACACCCTCCCAAAATACTGGGATTACAGGCATGAGCCACTGCACCCAGCCCCCAATGCCTCTTAAGACGGTAAATCTTTCTGTGCTGTGCATTAATGTGACTGAGGTTAATATTGCCCCTGGCACGTTTAAGAACATGGTTTCCACAGAAATCTGGCTTTTTGGGAGGAAGACAGTTTCCTTAGATGTAAGTTCTAGCAAACCTGTAAAGGAGGACTTCTTCCAAGTCTCTTTCTCCCTTCCATTTTTAAAGGTAGGTAGGTAATTTTCCTGTGATGTCTTACACTTTCCAGCTGTTTAACCTTTCTTTTGGCAGGAAGAAATTGGCCTTTGTTAGTTTAATGAGAAGAGGTGTAAGAAAAGTCTGCCTCAGATTTCTTGTGTTATTGTGTTCAGTTTATGCAAAGATCATAAGTATTCTGATCTTAAATTTGGGACCTTCGCAATCAGAGATCATCAGTATTTACAAATTTAACTTATCACGAAGTTATATCAACTAAGGGAAGAAAAACAAGCCCCTCATGGGGCTGAGCCTGCAATATGGTCGTATAGGAATTCTAAACCATGTTTTAGGTAACCGTCATTTTCCAAGCGCCAAGAAGTGTAGAAAATAAAGGGCCTCAAATTATAGGCTGTCAATAGTGTGGAGCATTTTGTACATCACCTCATCTAGATCTCTGTGCAGATGTACCAAGTAGCAATCATGGAAAACTAGTTTAAAGTCGATTTCATTTGAAACTTCTATTAAGTGATAATCATTAAGGGGAATAACATCATTTTACACGTCAACGAAACTTCACATTCAGAAGACAGAATCAAGTAGCTAAATAGAACATTTCCATAATGCTTGAGAATTCAATATCTTTCTTGACATCATTTCTTAGTCTAGGCACTCAAGCAAGCAGCAGCTTTACACTTACAGCCCCTGTCATTTCCTGTTCTAGTTCATTAAACCCTAGGCTTTCCCCAAAAACTCACAACCCTCATGGAGATCCTTCTGCCAGTCAGAACAGATTCATTTGAAGGAGGCAGAAATTGATATGCAGCTCTGAGTGAGGATGACGGCCATAATAAATTGCCACCTACACATGGAATTATATTTTGTAGGATGACACTATGTGGGCAGAAGCAGCAGGAATTATGTTTAGACCTTATAGTTGGGGACTTATTTCATATTGACTGCTTTCTCCTTGGCTGCCAAAGGATGGATAAAGTTCAGAAGCTACAGCTCGGTTGGCAACTCTTTACCTTTGCCTTTCTTTCTACAAAATACCCCAAATAAGCTAGCAATATAGCCAGTTCACACGCAAAGGCTTGAATCAAAACTACAGTTCTCTAAATCATTTTGCTTCTCTTTTCTCGGTGATGCTTAAAATTCTAGGATTTCAGAGTCACGTTCATAAATACATTTATAAGCACCAGTGACCACTCCCTGCAATCAGATGGCTACTGCATGCTCCAATGGAAACCAGAATAAAAAGACATCCCGACATAGAAATGAGCGCTTAAAATAAGGCAGCTGAAAAGAAAAAGCCACATTTAACTTAACCTTACTGAGGAAGGGGACAAAGATGAGGGAGGACTCTCTCTACTCAGCTTTTCTCTTAATCGTAAGTGAGACACTTGGAATTGCAAAAGCAACATTTAGCTTTCAGAAGCATGTTGCTGCCAGGAGTGGAAAGAAAGGATCTTACACCTCCTTTTCTCTCCTCATTCTAAAGTGGTGGGCAAAATGTCTGCTTTTATTGGTTTGAGGTATTCTAACCATTGCCAAAGAACAAGTAAAGAAAATGATATACACATGCTCTCCTCCTAAAAATGTCACCTCTTTTGTAAAGCTGTCTTGATTCCCAATTCAGAATGTGTAGCTTCCTTCTCTACATTCTATCATATACTTTATACCTCCATTAGTATCACAGATCTCCCTCTCTCACTAAACTGTAGAATTCCATAGTTTGGGGACCAAGTCATTACCTCTGTGATCCCCGCAGTGCAAGGTAGAGTGCTTTATTAATGGTAGGTACAAAATAAATGCTTGATGAATGAATGTGGTGGTGTCAACTTCATAACTGGACATTATGCTTTTCAGAGTTCCAATAAATGTTGAAAACAAATAAAGAAACTACCCTTCCTACTTAGCTGCTCCCTCCATCCCAATCTCTTTTTCTCTATATTTGGTATCACGATTGTGTACACTGAAGAGGGAGACACATCTAATGGGAAATATCCTCCTGGGAAGATATTTTATATTCAATATTTCTATTTTGATAACCCTCCAATGAACCATTTTTTGGGGGAGGATTTCCAAGGTTAAACTGAACTTGATGAGCAGAGTTCCGATCATTTTAGGTAGGCAAAAGATAGCTCTGCTGGCCAGGCGCAGTGGCTCACGCCTGTAAACCCAGCACTTTGCGAGGCTGAGGTGGGCAGATCACTTGAGGTCAGGAGTTCGAGAGAAGCCTGGCCAACATGGTGAGACCCCGTCTCTACCAAAAATACAAAAATTAGCTGGGTGTGGTGGCGCATGCCTGTAATCCCAGCTACTCAGAAGGCTAAGGCAGGAGAATAGCTTGAACCCGGGAGGCGGAGGGTTGCAGTGAGCCGGGATTGCACCACTGCACTCCAGCCTGGGCGAGAGAGTGAGACTCCATCTCAAAAAAAAAAAAGATAGCTCTGCTTCTGGTGACACAGTGCACTGTCAGATGCCTCGGAATAAACTATAAAGGTCTAAAAACTGAAAGCATGACGCCAAGACTCCCCTAACCAGGTGCTGCCTATATGAAATGATCAAGAAGAACAAGAAAGAAACCCTGAATTCTTTTTAACTAACAACGAAAAATGGTCCTTAGCCCTCAAAAAACAAAGCTCAAACTAGAGACTGATTGGTGACTGACAACTGTTTCAGGTACAGAGTCAGGTGATGTAAATGTGTCTAAAGAGAGAAAGGTCAAATTTAGCCAATGAAAGTCATCTCAAATAAGATTCCCTCCTCTATTTTCACCTGTGTCATGTGTTATTTTACTACTGGGGTTTGGCAAAACTTCAGCTGGAGACTTTTTACCTTTGTCAAAATTCTGGTTATTTGGAAATTTCTAAACTGATCAAGTTCTGCCACAATGCACATTTTCTACTTGCAAAACAAACAAAATGCTTTGACAGGGACAATTCCCAGTCTCTTATCACTGAAAGGTACAAAGGAAGCTGGGAAGTTGTTTGAATATCATATAGCACTTTTGAGTTCATTAGGCCATTATCCCCAGGGCTGTATTTAATCAAGATGAAAAAGCACAGGCTCAAAGCCTTTTTAGTTGACAAGAAGCGAGTATTTGGCTTGGGACTTCTGTGTCTGAGTTGTAAGTCAGGTTCACAGAAAAGTAATCAGAAACTAGCCTGACTGGAGACAAGAAAGAGTCTCAAAATAAGAGGTATGAGACCATGGGTTGTACATGTGACCCGGCCTCTTAAGAAGCTTAGGGACCTTGAGCAAATTACTTATATTCTCATCTGTAAAGTAAAGGACTAGACTTGGAGTATTTCTAAAGCCCCCTGTAACACTGTCAATGTTTAATTATCTAATGTTGTTCCTTAAGTAACCGATTCATTCATTCAACTATTTGAATACCTTCAATGTTCACTGAGGAACAGTTAATTCAGGTATCTATTTGAATACCTTCAATGAACATAATAAAAGAAGTAAAAATAACAGCTCTTGACCTCAAGGAGTTAAGCCAGCGGTAAAGATGAAGGCTTTACCCAACAGCTCCTAGCACAGGGGCCAGGCACAGGGGCTTATTAATCCATTCCTTTGGTCACAAGGAGCCTGCCAAATGGTGAGGAAGGAAAGAAGTAAGAGAAACTCCACAGAAGCTCTTCGGAGGAAAACAGGGTAATTTATAATTTCAGTCCACCAATGTCTATTGAGTGCCTACTGTGTGTGCCAGCACTGGGCATCCTGGGGCGACTCCGCCAGATCAGGCCTCTGATGACACTTACTTACTTATTCCAGGTGATAGAGAGAAAAAAACAAAACAGGTTATCAAAGAAATGAAGTCCATGGCTGGGCTTGGGGGCTCAAGCCTGTAATCCTAGCACTTTGGGAGGCTGAGGTGGGTGGATTGCTTGAGGTCAGGAGTTCAAGACCAGCCTGGCCAACATGGTGAAACCCCATCTCTACTAAAAATACAAAAATCAGCCGGGCATGGTGATGCATGCCTGTAACCCCAGCTACTTAGGTGGCTGAGGCAGGAGAATCACTTGAGCCTGGGAGGTGGAGGTGGCAGCGAGCCAATATCACGCCACTGCACTCCAGCCTGGGTGACAGAGCAAGACTCTGTCTCACAAAAAAAAAAAAAAAAAAAAAAAAAAAAAATTAGATTGAGAGAAATTCTATGAAAGAAACAGAATAACGAATAACTGTGTTTGCTGGTGGGGTAGACTGCCAATAGTATAGGGCAGAGAGGGGTAAGTCTTTGGATATGGTAGCAGTTGACTGAGCTCAGATCTGAAGGCAGAAGAAAATTAGAACAGCCAGCACAGAGGGCCTAGTGATCCAGCCAGAGAGGCTGGTAAATGCGGAGGCTGAGAAGGGCTGGTGCAGACAAACCATCTGTGTGGTTGGAGCTTAAAAAGCAGTTACTTCCGGAAAGTATAGGGTGAACGCAGTAGTTCTCAACAGAGGGCAATTTTGCACACCCCATGGGACATTTGGCAAAGTCTAGAGAAATTTTTGGTTGTTATGATGGTGGGGGTGGGGAGAAGGTTGAGAAAACTTGCACTAAAAGAATATTTCAGCCCAAATTTCAGTTTTAGTCATTATGTTCTAAACTCATGTTCTCGCCAACTTGAATAGTTTTTTTTTTCTTTCCTGCAGAAACAAAATAAGAACAGGTTTCAAGTGGCTCACTCTTTCATCTACTCTCTTGGGAAATCCCCTTGGGGAGGTTCATGGGACTCCAGGAGCCTTTGGAAAGCACCACAGGATACGAAATATCTACCTAAACAGGTGAGAAACGATCCAAGGAGCCACACCCCCAACTGCTCCCACAGTTACCAGGGCAGAAAAAACTGAGATTAGGGGTAGGGCACAAAGGAGAATATATTTATGTTTTATTTGCATAATTACAAATTAATGTTAAAAAGAATGCAAAGTCAGGTCCAGGGTAGGGATGAAGAGGTTGCAGATGCCCTCAAGTATTGGAAAGCTCTGGCCTTCTGGCCTTATGTCTTTTTTCTTTCTTTTCTTTTTTTTTATTTTTGAGACAGGGTCTCCCTCTGTTGCCCAGGCTGGAGTGCAATGGTACGATCTTGGCTCACTGCAACCTCAAACTCCCCGGCTCAAGCGATCCTCCTACCTCAGCCTCCCGAGCAGCTGGGACTACAGGCGCACGTCAGGTGGCCCAGCTAATTTTTGTACTTTTTAAAATTTTTTTGAGACGGAGTCTCGCTCTGTCGCCCAGGCTGGAGTGCAATGGCGGAATCTCGGCTCACTGCAACCTCAGCCTCCTGGGCTCAAGCGATTCTCGTGCCTCAGCTTCCCAAGTAGCTGGGACTACAGGCGCGCGCCACCACGCCCAGCTAATTTTTGTATTTTTTGTAGAGACGGGTTTTCAACATGTTGGCCAGGCTGGTCTCGAATTCCTGACCTCAAGTGACGCGCCCGCCTCAGCCTCCCAGAGTGCTGGGATCCCAGGTGGAGCCACCGCGCCGCACTTCTCGGGCCTTCTTCTAACTCGGGTCCCTGGGCCCCCCAGGCTCTCGCTTCCCTCCCCTACGCCGCCCCGCGCCCGCCTCAGACCTCTCTGGGACCCGCCGGCCTGGCGTCCTGGCCCGCCCGAGCCCCACGGTCCCTCGGGTCCTAACCTCGGCGGGGCAGGCACCTCCTCAGGAAGCCCCGGAGCAGGCTGTCGTTGTATAGGTGGCCCAGGCTGGCGGCCCCTGACCGAAGGTCGCGTCGGGTCAGTGTGCAGCCCGTGGCTGAGAGGCGGCTGCTGAGGGGCCGGGCGGGCTAGGGGCCGGCTAGCCGCCGTTCGCCCCTGCTTTGCATATTCATGAAGTCTAGCGAGGCCGGTCGCCCAGGCTAGCCGTGGACGGGTCATGAATTATTCATGAGGAAACCTCTGGTCCCGCCCAGAAAGGCCTCGTTGACTATTCATGAGCCGAGGAGCGGGTTTGGGCCGGAAAAGGCCGTTGACCCCCGGTGGGAGGGAAGCGTCGACGAGCTGAGGTGAGGGCTGTTGAGACGCGAGGTCTCGGCCCAGAGAGGGCACTCGGGCGTTGTTAGTTCTGTCTTTATGTCAAAAAACAATTTTTTTTTCTTTTCTTATTACTTAAGGCTTTAAGTTGGATTTGAAAGTATCATATTTCGTGAGGGCCTAAAGTACTGTGAAGAGAATCGGGAGGGCAGGGGGCTGAGGAGGAAGGCAAAAGGGAGGCGATTTCCCCCAGAACTGGACAGAGAGCACCCAGGTAGTTTTGAAATTCAGATTTTTCTGGACATGAAATCAAACTTGCTGAGCAAGCAGCAGCCATAATGAGCCATGATGAGGCTGGCAGGGCAGACGATGTCTGTGCCCGACATTGGAGGGGGCCGTGTGTGGTGGAGCTTTGGGGAAGTTTATCTTACCTGGGTCAGATTCTCCCCAGCCATTGAGGTTTTCTGCCAGGATCGATGCCTGGTACAGGCCAAGAGGTGAGAGAGGTGGGGACAAGACACCCCGCCCCCCTTGACCTCAGCTCCCCTTTCACTTTAGTGAGGATTTGCCAATTAATCCCTATGGACTTTAGTTCCCTAAACAGAGGGAGAGAGTCTTGAACCTCAGGATTAGCCAATCGCCAAAATGTGTCCGAGTACGCAGGGCACTGGACAGGCTGTGCAGTACATCGTGTACTCAGCTGGTAGAAATGAGGGGTGGTTCTGGCCCCTAAAGGGGTTTTTAATCTCAGCAGGATCATAATCTAATTTCTCCTCCATTGGACCATCAATCTGTTGAGGTAGGAACAGTATTTTACATCTCGTAATCCTGCATGTTGTTGCCTGGCACATTGTAGTTGCCTCGTAGATGTTGAATGAATGAATAATTGAAATAGCATGAAAAAGATATTAAAAAGTCAAAAGAGCATGAACAAATACTCAATTAATATAGTGGAAGCCATTTTCTCTGAATGAGCACAGGTAGGGGAATTACCAGGGCCAAATGGAATTTGTTAAAATGGTGAATAATTTATTGAAGCAAGCTCTGTTGGAAGGTCTAAGTAATTGGGCGAACTTTGGCAAACCAAGTTCCCTTGCTTAGCCTCACTTTCCTTTTCTTTTTTCTTTTTTTTTTGTGAGATGGAGTCGAGCTCTGTGCCAGGCTGGAGTGCAGTGACGCAATCTCAGCTCACTGCAACCTCCACCTCTCGGGTTCAAGCGATTCCCCTGCCTCAGCCTCCCATGTAGCTGGGACTACAGGTGTGCACCACCACGCCCAGCTAAATTTTTTTATTTTTTTTTATTTTTAGTAGAGACAGGGTTTCACCATGTTGGCCAGGATAGTCTCGATCTCTTGACCTCGTGATCCTCCCACCTCGGCCTCCCAGAGTGCTGGGATTACAGGTGTGAGCCACTGCACCTGGCCCCTTTTCTTTATAGTTTTATGTTTAGGTTTAAATCCATGATCCATTTTGCATTAATATTTGTATACAGTGTGAGATTTAGGTTAAGTTTCTTTTAATTCTCTGTTCTTCCCCCCACCCTCCAGATGTCCTTTTGTTTCAGCATCATTTGCTGAAAAAAAGATTCTTCCTCCACAGAATTGGATCTTCTTTAAATCAAAGGGGTTGGAAGATGTCTGTGCTCCCTTCCAGCTTTAGGAATCTATTGAACCCATTTATGTTAACGTACACTTCTTTTGAGTAAAGCCATTCTTAACAACATGCATGTGTAAGGAAGGTAATATAGTTACATTTCAGAATCCAGCTATTGGATAGTGTTCACCTGATAGAAAAGGGATTTTCTTGTAAAAAACGGTTTTTGAAGATTGAGAAAGATGGGTAGAGAGCCTTCATAAATCAACTATGATTATATTTGGGAAAATGTAATAAAACTTTGGCTTTTGCTTCACTTGGAATGGTTAAAAAAGTGGTTTAGGCCTTAGTAAACTAAACAGCAGCTGGCTAATCTTTATGTGAATCTTGGACTCACACATAGTAGGGGTAAAATAGGAAGTAATTGTGCCACCATATAAAATAGGGCAATTGAAGGCGTGGTGTGGTGTCTCATATGTGTAATCCCAAAACTTTGAGAGGCCAAGAGTTCGAGGCCAGTCTGGGCAACATAGTGAGACCTCCCCCTCCACCCGCCCGCCCAACTCTACAAAAATAAAAAATTTTTAAAAATTAGCAGGGCATGGTGGTGCATGCATATAGTCTCAGCTACTTGGAAGGCTGAGATAGGAGGATCACTTGAGCCCAGAAGTTTGAGGTTGCAATGAGCTGTGATTATGCCAGCCTAGGTGACAGATCATGCCACCGCACTTTACTCTGTCTCAAAAAAAAAAAAAAGAAAAGAAAAGAAAAGAAAATGAATACACAACAACAAAAAAAATAGGGCAATTGAGATATAGGTCAAGAGGTAAGCCTAGAGTGAATCTTTACCAGAAAGAGCATAGAAATATTGCCTCTTTCTCAAGAAGATCATAATCCTTGTCACAAAGTAGACATATCAAATGTAAGAGTGAGGGTCAGTTGCAGTGGCTCACACTTATAATCCCAGCACTTTGGGAGGCTAAGAAAGGAGTATTGCTTGAGCCCAGAAGTTCAAAACCAGCCTGGGTAACATAGTGAGACCTCATCTCTACCAAAAATAAAATTTGCTGAGTGTGGTGGCACATGGCCTCTAGTACTAGCTACTTAGGAGGCTGAGGTGGGAGGATCACTTGAGCCCAGGAGGTCGAGGTTGCAGTGAGCCAAGATTGCGCCACTGCATTCCTGCCTGGGTAAACAGAGTAAGACCTTGTCTCAAAAACAGAAGAGGGAATGGTATTGATGAACTGTGAAGTTTCAAATATGTGTGGATCTAATTTGCAAACAAATATATAAGAGAATGACATTGCAAAGTTAGCTTTCAGTTCTTAAAATCCATAGTTATGAAATCTCTTCTAGGTTTTTAGATAATGAGCCTGAACAAAGGGATAACACATAGAAAAAATCAGACCTATTCTCTGAGAATGCATGCTCTCTAGAGTCATACCTCCTGTGAACTTGTGAGCTTTTAAAATTAAGCAGGGTTTGTACTTAAATAGAAGACCTCCACAAAACACCTGCTCAAAGGGAAAACAGTAGCAACAGAATAATTAGAGGCTGAAAGGAGTCTGGCTTTTTTTTTGAGACGGAGTTTCACTCTTGTTGCCCAGGCTGGAGTGCAATGGTGCAATCTCGGCTCACTGCAACCTCCACCTCCCGGGTTCAAGCAATTCTCCTGCCTCAGCCTCTCAAGTAGCTGGGATTACAGGCACCCACCACCATGCCCAGTTTTAGTAGAGACGAAGTTTCACCATGTTTTTTGAAAAAATAATTTAGATCTTTTTGCCTTCCTGAAGCAAGCTCATGCTAGAACACTAGAAAGAGACCCTCCCATGTTTAGAAATAAGTAGGCAAGCCGAAGAACTAAGGAGGCCCTGGTAGTACATCATATTAGATAGAATGAAAGCAAAGGAGAATTTCATTTTGGAGAGTCAGTCTGGAAAAACTTTTAAATTGTGAGCCAGACTTGTTGAGTTTTAGTCTCAGTTCTGTTACTGAGTGGCTGACTAATCCCGGGTAAGTCTAGATTTTGAATTCCCCATCTAGAAAATTAGATATTTGGACTAAATTACTGTCTTAGTCCAGTTTGTACTGCTGTAACAATACCTGAGGCTGGGTAACTAAAAAGAGCAGACATGTATTGGCTTATGATTCTGGAGGCTGGGAAGTCCAAGAACAAGGATATGCATCTTGTAAGGACCTTCTTGCTGTGTCATAACATGGAGGAAGGCATCACCTGGTAAGACAGAGAGAGCAAGGAGAGAGAGAGTGAGTGTGCCAAACTTGCTTTTATAACAAATCCACTCTCCTGATAATGAACCTGCTCCTGGGGTAACAATATTAATCCATTCATGAAGGCACCTAATCACCTCTTAAAGGCCCCAACTCTCAACACTTGCATTGAGGATTAAGCTTCCAAAATATGAACTTTGGGATACACATTCAAACCATAGCAATGATATTTAAAGTTTCTTCTACCTTTAAAATTTTGTGGTATTTTTCTAGACTCTTAATTATTCCTTGTTCCTATAGTTCTTCTCTGTTGACTCAGCAAATATTTAGTTAGTTAAGTTAGGTTTTTAATTTTTTTTATTTTTTACTTATTTATTTATTTTTAAAGTAGAGACAGGGCTTCACCATGTTGGCCAGGCTGGTCTTGAACTGCTGACCTCAAGTGATCCATCCCACCGTGACCTCCCAAAATACTGAGATTACAGGTGTGAGCCACCATGCCCAGCCTCAGCAAATATTTATTGAGTACCTATTTAGTTCCAGTACTGTGATGATGCTGAGAGTTCAAGAATGAGCTAAACGGCCAGGCGTGGTGGCTCACGCCTGTAATCCCAGCAATTTGGGAGGCCGAGGCGGGCGGATCATGAGGTCAGGAGTTCGAGACCATCGTCGCTAACATGGTGAAACCCCGTCTCTACTAAAAATACGAAAAAATTAGCCAAGCATGGTGGCAGTCGCCTGTAGTCCCAGCTACTCGGGAGGCTGAGGCAGGAGGGTGGCATGAACCCGGGAGGTGGGTCTTGCAGTGAGCCGAGATTGCGCCACTGCACTCCAGCCTGGGCAACAGAGCCAGACTCCGTCTCAAAAAAAAAAAAAATGAGCTAAACAAGACACAAAAGATCACATATTGTATGGTTTCATTTATATGTAATGTTCAGAATAGGCAATTTCATAAAGATGAAAGGTAGGTTAGTGGTTTCCAGCGGCTGGGGAAAGGAGAGAATAGGAGTGACTGCTAATAGGCATGGGATTTCTTTTAGGGGTGATGAAAATGTTCTGGAATTGATAGTGTTTGCATTATTTTGTGAATACACTAAATTGATGGTTTATACTATATTAAACAGATGGTTGCAGAATTTTGTGAATATACTAAAACCCACTGAATTATACCTATTAAAAAAACTTTAAAGGCTGGGTGCAGTGGCTCATGCCTGTAATCCCAGCACTTTGGGAGGCCAAAGTGGGCAGATCACTTGAGGTCAGGGGTTCTAGACCAGCCTGGCCAACATGGCTAAACCCCATCTCTACTAAAAATACAAAAATTAGCTGGATGTGGTGGCACACACCTGTAATCCCAGCTACTCAGGACGCTGAGGCAGGAGAATGGCTTGAACCCTGGAAACAGAGGTTGCAGTAAGCTGATATTATACCACTGCACTTCACCTGGGTGACACAGTGAGAGTCCTTTTCAATAAATAAATAAATAAAACTTTAAAATATAAAGAATGAGCTAGACTGACACAACAGCTAGACACAATTTTGCTCTCATGTTAGCTCACAGTAGGTCAGGGGATACTTAAAGACAACTATGGTACAGTATATATTGCAAAGGGCACATAACCCAGACTTCGTAATAGTGGTAGTGGGAATTAGGAAGTCATCCCTTAAGGAAATTTTACTAAGCCATATGATATGGTTTGGATTTATGTCTCCACCCAAATCTCATGTCAAATTGTAATCCCCAGTGTTGGAGGAGGGCCCTGGTGGGGGTTGACTGGATCATGGGGGTAGATTTCCCACTTGCTGTTCTTGTAATTATGAGTTCTCATGAGATCTGGTTGTTTAAAAGTGTGTAGCACCTCCCCTTTCCCTCTCTTCCTCCTTCTCTGGCCGTGTAAAACATGCCTCCTTCTCCTTCCCCTTCTGCCATGGTTGTAAGTTTCCTGAGGTCTCCCCAGCTATGCTTCCTGTGTAGCCTGCATAACTGTAAGTCATTTAAACCCCTTTCTTTATAAATTACCCAGTCTTAGGTAGTTCTTTATAGCAATGCAAGAATGGACTAATACACCATATCTATGAGATGAGTAGGAATTGGGAATGGAGGAGGATGTTTCAGGCAGAAGGAATATTGCAAAATCCTGAGAGCTAGAAGGAATATAGTCCTTTGGGGTAAAGAAGGTAAGAATAGCTGGTAAATAAAAGTATAAGGGAAAATAGAGCTGAGGCTAGGGAGGCATGAGTCAAATCTTGAAGCCATGGTAAGAGTTTTAGATTTTATCCTGAGAGTAGTGGGGAGCCATTGAAGTATTTCAATCTGGGAAAATGCATAGTCGAGTTTGTAATTTAAAAACTCTGGCTGCAATATACAGAACAGACTGGAGAAGGAGAATACCAGTGACAGGAAATTGGTGGTTGCAGCAGTACAGGCAAAAGATGAGACTGGTTGATTTAAAGTAGAGATGACAACAACCTGGCTAAAGTGAGGAGTTGGACACATTTGAGATATATATATATATATGTATGTGCAGGGGGACAGGGTTTCACTCTTGTTGCCCAGGCTGGAATGCAATGGCGTGATCTTGGCTCACTGCAACCTCCATCTACTGGGTTCAAGCGATTCTCCTGCCTCAGCCTCCCAAGTAGCTGGGATTACAGGCATGTGCCACTACGCCCAGCTAATTTTGTATTTTTAGTAGAGATGGGGTTTCTCCATGTTGGTCAAGCATGTGCCACCACGCCCAGCTAATTTTGTATTTTCAGTAGAGATGGGGTTTCTCCATGTTGGTCAGGCTGGTCTTGAACTCCTGACCTCAGGTGATCCGCCCACCTCAGCCTCCCAAAGTCCTGGGATTACAGGCGTGAGCCACTGCGCCTGGCCTACATTTGAGAAATATTAAGGTGATGGAACATGGGAACGAGGAAGGGATTAAGGTTGAGTCACAGATTTTGTGCTTGAGCAACTAGGTATGTGATGATGTCATTCACTGAGCGAGGGAACAGAAGTAAGTTTTTGGGGAAAATAATTCACATTCAAATGTGTTGAGAACATCAAGGTGGAACAGTCTTATGATCAGTTAGAAGAACAAGTCAGCAACTTCTGAGAGAGACCTGGGTTGGGGATATACACATAAGAATCAATAAGATAGAAGTTATACTTGAAACAATGGGAGTGTATTTGTTCATCCAGGGAGTGTGTGGTAGAAGTAAAAAAGAAGAGCTCTGTTTTAGTCTGTTCTTGCATTGCTATAAAGAAATTTCTGAGACTGGGTAATTTATAAAGAAAAGAGGTTTAATTGGCTCACAGTTCCACAGGCTGTACAGAAAGCATGGTAGCATCTGCCTGACTTTTGAGGAGGCCTCAGGAAACTTACAATTATGGCAGAAGACAAAGGAGAAGCAGGCACATCTTACATGGCCAAAGCAGGAGAGAGAGAGAGAGGAAAAAAAAAAAGGTTCTACACACCTTTAAACAACCAGATCTTGCAATAACTCACTCACTTACTATTGCAAGAACTGCACTGAGGGTATAGTGCTAAACCATTCATGAGAAACTGCCCAGATGATCCAGTTATCTCCTACTGTGCCTGGCCATGCCAGCTGCTAGGTAACTGAGTCAGAATTTGAACTTAGGTTCCTTAACTCTAAAGGCTCTTTCTACTAGATTATACTGCTGGTTATTTCTCTCTCTCTCTCTATATATATACATATATATATACACACACATACATATATACATATACAGATCTGTATATGTGTATACACACGTACACACGTATACATATACACACACGTACACACGTGTACATATACACACACGTACACACGTGTACATATACACACACGTACACATGTGTACATATACACATATGTATACACGTATACCTATGTATACATATATACATATATACCTATGTATACATATATACATATATACACATATATACATATATACACACATATATACATATACACACATATATACATATATACACACATATATACATACATATATATACACATATATACATATATGTATAAAATTTAATTTTACTTTTATAAATGTCAATTCCTAAGGAATTTACCAAATGCTAATATTAACCTGCTTGAATCCTTTCTCAATAGCAAGTGTCCTGAATGCCTCAGAGTTTTCAATGGTAATATTAATTTAATCTAGGCCATCCATACATTGCAAAAATATGGATGTAGTAATGCCTTGTGTTCTAATTGGCTGATGCTATTTTCAGAGCTTGATTCCCTAGAAATGACATCAGAATGTCTATGATCATAGAGAAATTTTTAAAACCCTACTAATTTAGAAAACTATTTAGTTTTATTAAGTAAGTTTTAATAAGTAAGTTTTATTAGTTTTATTAATTTTATTAATTAAAAAAGTTAATTTAAAAATTAATTTAAAAATTAAAAAGTAAGTTTTATTAAGTTTTATTAGTTTTATTAATATTAGTATTCTATACTAATATAGAAAACTATTCTAGAAAATCATGATTTCTCTTATTTATTGTGTCTAAGACTAATAACTACCCCAGTAGTGGGTAGTGTATTATGGTTTAATGGGCTGGGACTAGATCTTAAACTCTTAGAGCTACTTTGTTTCCCATTTTATTTTTTGAAATTTAAGGGGGACAACTGATGTATTAGATATGAAGGTTATAGTCTCAAATCAAGTAAAGATAGCTTGGAATCTTTAAGGGTTAAAGAACTATTGGTGGTTTTCAGTCTCATATATAAAATATTGTAAAAGAGTGTCCCCTAGTGCCCCTCTGAAGAAATAATTTGAAAGAAATTTAATATTACCACCTATTTATAATCTCTATCACCACCTTGTGGCAGTGTTCGCAAATAATTCTGCCCTCTTGGGAAAAATCTTCAAGAATCTTGCATTAATGGATACACAAAAACCGGTCACAGGCTATCCTTGGTGATCCAGAATGGAATATCTTTAAAGAAGTTATTTTACAAGTATTTTGGTCAGAACTTCATAAAACCTTGAAAAGAAGCCCCAGTTGAAATTAAATTAAGACTTTGTAAAGAAAAGGGAAAATTTGCTGCTGCTTCTTTTTTTTTTTTTTTGAGATGGAGTCTGGCTCTGTCGGCCAGGCTGGAGTGCAGTGGCGCAATCTTGGCTCACTGCAAGCTCCACCTCCCGGGTTCACGCCGTTCTCCTGCCTCAGCCTCCTGAGTAGCTGGGACTATAGGCGCCTGCCACTATGCCTGTCTAATTTTTGTATTTTTAGTAGAGATGGGATTTCACCATGTTGGCCAGGATGGTCTTGATCTCCTGACCTCGTGATCCACCCGCCTTGGCCTCCCAAAGTCCTGGGATTACAGGCATGAGCCACCATGCCCGGCTGCTTCTTTTTTATATCAACAAAACAATAAGGGTGAAAACTAGATGTATTTTAAATATTAACTTTTTTATTGTGGTAAACTGTAATATGAAACTCAACACCTCAGCTTTTCTAAGTGTACAACTCAGTGACACTAAGCACATTTGCAATGTTGTGCAACCATTATCACTATCCATTTCTAAAACCTTCTCATCATCGTGAACAGAAACTCTATACCTATTAAACTCTTTATTCCTTCTACCCCACCAGCACCTGGTAACCTCTATTCTACTTTCTGTCTCTGTGAATTTGCCTACTGTAGGTACCTCATATAAGTGGGATCATATAATATTTGTCCTTTTATGTCTGGCTTTTCACTTAGCATAATGTTTTCAAGATTTATTCACATTGTTGCATGTATCAGAACTTCATTCCTTTTTAAGATTGAATAGGGGTCGGGTGTGGTGGCTCATGCCTATAATCCCAGCACACTGGGAGGATGAGGCGGGTGGATTGCCTGAACCTAGGAATTCAAGACCAGCCTGGGCAACATGACAAAACCCCATCTCCACAAAAAATACAAAAATTAGCGAGGTGTGGTGGCAAATGCTTGTAGTCCCAGCTACTCGAGAGGCTGAGGTGGGAGAATCATTTAAGCCTGGGAGCGGGAGGTTGCAGTGAGCCGAGATCACGCCATTGCACTCTACTGTGGGTGACAGAAGGAGACCCCGTCTCAAAAACAAAACAAAACAAACAAATAAAACAATTGAGTAATATTCCATTGTAAATACCACATTTTGTTTATCCATTCATCTTTTAATAGACATTCGAACTGTTTCCATCTTTTGGCTAATATGAATTATGTGGCTATGAGCATTGGTGTACAAGTATCTGTTTGAGTCCCTGGTTTCAATTCTTTTGAATATATACCTAGAGATGGAAATGCTAGATAATATGGTAATTCTGTTTAACTTTTTGAGGAATGCCATTGCTATTTTCCACAATGGCTGCACCATTTTCATTCCCACCAGCAATGCATAAGGGTTTTAATTTCTCCACATCCTTACCAACTTACTATTTTCCATTTTTGAATAATCATTTATAAAATTTTTAATTGACACACAGTAATTGTACATATTTATGGGGTACAGAGTGATATTTTGATACATGTATACAATATGTAATGGTCAAGTCAAAGCATATTCATCAATTCAAACATTTATCATTCTTTGTGTTGAACTATTTTAAAATATACAATAAATCATTGTTAACTGTGGTCACTCTACAGTGCTATAGAACAATATAATTTATTCTCCTATCTAGCTGTAATTTTATATCCATTAACTAACTTCTCCCTATCCAACCTCCTCCCTGCTGCCCTTCCTAGCTTTTAATAACTACTTCTGAGAGCTCATCTGTTTTAGCTCCCAGATGAGTGAGAACACATGGTATTTATCTTTCTGTACTTGACTTACTTCACTTAAAATTATATCATCTAGGTTAATCTCTGTTGCTGTGAATGACAGATTTCATGCTTTTTTAAATGGCTGAATAATATTCCATTGTGTATATATATCCTTTCCTTCCTTTCTTTCTTTTTCTCTTTCTCTCTCTCTCTCTTTCTTTCTCTCTTTCTTTCTTTTTTTTTTTTTTTTTTGACAGAGTCTTGCTCTGTTGCCCAGGCTGGAGTGCAGTGGTGCAATCATGGCTCACTGCACTGCAGCCTTGAACTCCTGGGCTCAAGTAGTCCACCTTAGCTTCCCAAGTAGCTGGGACTATAGGTGCGTGCCACCACACCCAGCTAATTTTCGTATTTTTTGTACAGATAGGGTTTCACCATGTTGCCTAGGCTGGTCTTGAACTCCTGGGCTCAAGCAACCTGCCTGCCTCAACCTCCCAAAGTGCTGGGATTACAGACATGAGCTGCCACCCCGGCCTATATTTTATTCATGCATTCATCTGTTGATGGACACTTAGGTTGATTCCATATCTTGGCTATTGTGAATAGTGCTGCAATAAACATGGAGGTATAGATATCTCTTCCATATACTGATTTCTTTTCTTTTGGATAAATACCCAATAGTAGGATTGCTGGATTATATGGTTTCTATTTTAAGATTTTTGAGGACCTTCCATACTGTTTTCCATAATGCTTGTACTAATTTACATTCTTACCAACAGTGTATAAGAATTTTCTTTTCTTTGCATCCTTGCCAGCATTCGTTATTTTTTGTTATTTTATTTTATTTTATTTCATTTCATTTTTTGAGATGGAGTCTTGCTCTGTTGCCCAGGCTGGAGTGCAGTGACAAGATCTTGGCTAACTGCAACCTCCACCTCCCCGGTTCAAGTGATTCTCCTGCCTCAGCCTCTCAAGAAGCTGGGACTACAGGTGCATGCCACCACACCTGGCTAATTTTTTTTTTTTTTTTTTGTATTTTTAGTAAAGACAGGATTTCACCAGACTGGTCTCAAACTCTTGACCTCAGGTGATCCACCCACCTTGGCCTCCCAAAGTGCTGGGATTACAGGTGTGAGCCACCTCGCCTGGCCATTTTTTGTCCTTTTAATAATAGCCATTCTAACTGTGGGGAGATGATATCTCATTGTGGTTTCAATTTGCATTTCCCTGATGATTAATCATGTTGAGCATTTTTTCATATACTTATTAGCCATTTGTATGCCTTCTTTTGAGAAATGTCTATTCAGATCCTTTGCTTTTTTTTTTTTTTTTTGGCTTTTGAGTTGCTTGCACTTCTTGTATATTCTGGATATTAATTCTTTCTTGGATGAATAGTTTTCAAATGTTTTCTCCCATTCTATAGGCTGTCTCTTCACTCTGTTGGTTATTTACTTAGCTGTGTAGAAACTTTTTAGTTTGATATAATATCATTTGTGTATTTTTGGTTTTGTTACCTGTGCATTTGAAGTCTTACCCATAAAATCTTTACCCAGACCAATGTCCTGAAGCATTTTTCCTGTGTTTTATAATTTTGAGCCTTACATTTAAGTCTTTAACATATTTTGAGTTTATTTTTGTATATGGTGAGAGACAGGGGTCTCTCATTCTTCTGCTGTGGATATGCAGTTTCTCCAGAACCATTTTTTGACAAGGGTATCTTTTCCCCAATGTATGTTCTTGGTGACTTTGTCAAAAATAAGCTGGTTGTAAATAGGCAGATTTATTTCTGGGTTCTCTATTCTGTTCCATTGGTCTATGTATCTCTTTTTATACCAGTGCCATGCTGTTTTGGTTACTATAGCTTTGTAGTATATTTTAAAGCCAGGTAATGTGATGCCTCCAACTTTGTTCTTTTTGCTCAGAATTACTTTAGCTGTTCAGAGTCTTTTGTGGTTCCATAGGAATTTTAGGAGTTTTTTTCCGTTTCTATGAAGAGTGTAATTGGTATTTTGACAGGGATTGCATTTGAATCTGTAGATTGTTTTGGGTAATTAATATGATCATTTTAGCAATATTAATTCTTCTAATCAATGAATACGGGATGCCTTTCCATCTTTTTGTGTTCTGTTCAATTTCTTTCATCAGTGTTCTGTAGTTTCATTGTAGCAATCTTTCACTTTCTTAAATTTATTCCTAGCTAATTTTTTTGGTAGGTATTGTAAATGAGATTTCTCTCTTGATTTCTTTTTCAGCTAGTTGAATGAATAACTATTTTAATGGGTATGAAGTATAAACATTAACTTCTGAGTTGAATTTGCAAATAAGTTACAACTGAAGTTAGTTCAAGAAATGTTTTTGAGCCTTTGCTATATTGTTACACTCTGAGGGAATAACAAGGATTAATAATATATATTGAGTCTCTAGGTGATTTACAATGTATTTTCTCCTCTGAATATATTTTTGAACAAATAAATAATCTTATAATTTTCATTGAGTGGGTGGAAAAATTCATCCAGAGACCTTATGCCAAAATTATAGATAAAAATGTTTATTAAACTTATTTCCCAATGAGTATGGTCAAATTTTAATTATATAGTTCTCCTTTGGAAAATTAACAATAGGTACTTTTTTCAACTCAAATTCATTTTATCGTTTAGATAGAGCCTGATAGAATTATCTTAGCATTCATTCTTCCTTTGCTCTTCAAAATGTAGCTTGGTAAATTTCTCTCTGAACTGAACAATCTTGAAAACAGTTTATACTTAACTGTCTTTGATTTTAATTTTTTGTTTGCTTTTAGACTTTTTCAGTTTCATTTTTGGGCAGAGTAAGAGAGGAAGCATTATATTTGGCAAGGTCTCTAATTAATTAATTATTTTTTAATAGGTTGGACTTGTTGAAATAATCCTGATACATTCCTACAATGGCCACTGCTCAGCTTTCTCACTGCATCACAATACACAAGGCTTCTAAGGTATTTGTTAAGAATTAAAAGAAAATCAATGACCATTTAGTGAGTTAGTTCAGAATTATGATTTTAATCTTTTGTGTGTGTGTTTTTAAGCAGCAGTTTTATCAGTTAATTGGCACATAATATTCTGGGAGAGTATGTGTACATTTTAACTGCCTAATAGACCAAGGACCAGAAAATTAAAATAAATTTCTACAAAGTTACTTACTGGGTGCTTGTTTCATGTTTATGTAATATATTTAGGTCTTCTAGAGTAAAAGAAATCAGAAACAAAAAGATGTTTAAAGAGAATGGTTCTTGGTTAGACATTCACTTCCTAAAGTGTTAGGAAACTTGTGTTGCACACCATGGTGTAATTATAAGAACAGAAGGGGAGAGCACTGAGAGAAACTTGGATGCTAGGAGGTCTAGGGGAGCATCCCAGGGCCAGGCATATAGTTTAGTTTGTCTCATGACATTCATTAATGCATCCTTTGTTTATTCATTGAGACTAAATATTATGTAGTATAATATTCATTATACTGTGTAACTCACTGATAAAATACAAAAATATGATCTTCATCTTCCAAAAGTTTATAATCTGGTTAGGAGTTAAGTCAATATACAAAGCGATATATGATTTATATATATGTGAAAAAGAGTAAGACAATGCAAATTATAGGGATTTATTTAGAGATTTCATGTGGACTGGAATGGTTTGTATATTCCTCATGAAAGAGGTAAGACTGAAGGTGGACAGACCTTGAATGATGAAGATAATTTGCGTAGAGGGGAGAGAATTCCCTGAGGAAAACCCAGCATATGCCTTGGCTCAGAATAAGAAATAAGATGGGCTGATTACAAAATTGGCTGACTGGTTTTGGACTGCCTTGCAGTGAAATGCATGGTAAAAGCATTGCACTGTCTTTTCCTATAACATCTCTCTCTTTTTCTGGGGATCCAGGATCTAGTATAAAAATGAGACCCTTAATTTTGGGGATCTGTTTATACCTTCCATCTGTGCCTGTTTATTAGGCCCTAGAAACTACATGCTTTCCTGGGCCTGTTTTTCCAAGGACTCCACCCTGAAGCCAGTAATCCAATTAAGAAACTTAAAAACTGGCAATCGAAAAATCTTACAACTACTGGGTCTTCTTCTGTCTGTGTATTTATATGTGTTGCATGTATGGTGTTTACATAAAAGAGTGTTAATTAATTGGCTTAAAGAAAAATAAACACTTAAATCAAATATTTTGTCAGAAAAATTAAAACTTTAGTGCCTTTTAGTTTACATGACTTTAATAATCTTTGGAAAATACAGATTATTGGTAAAATGAAAATATCTTCAAAATTTAGGCACTTGATTTAGGTCAGATATTAGGTTTGCTAAAGGCTTTAATGTCATAAAATGCTTCTTTGATTTTTAAAAATTGTTCAGCTTACCTGCTTTGGAGCCATTAGAGTCTAGGTAAAGCCTAGGGACATGTGGAGTTAGCCATGTCCCCTGGCTATGCTGGGAAAAGTCAGACTTTATCTGCACTCCGCCTTCAAAGATTATATTAACTGGTAATAAGTATTATCCTTGTAGTATGAATTAAGAGTGATACAGAATGTAAGCCACACGAGGGAGAGGATTTTTATATGTTTTGCTCACTACTATGTCTCAGAACCTAAAACAGTACCTAGAATGTAGTAAGATTAAATGCATATTTGGATTAAGATTTTCATACTTTGGAAATGGGAAAAAGAGCATGCCTGGCTGAAAGAACTGCATAAGACAACATTTTCCAAACTTATTTGACCAGCAAACACTTAACATTTTTACTGGGAGTATATATTCATATAATGCATAGGTGTACAACTAAATGAATTTTTACGAACTTAACACATTGTTATAAGCCAGAAGCCAGATCAGAAACCAGAACACTACCAGCACTCCCTCTCATGCTGTCTTCTAGTTATTATTACCTCTCCCCACCAAGAGAAACCACCATCTTGACATCTAACAGCATAGATTAGTTTCACCTGCTATTGTACTTTATATAAATGAAATCATATACTAATACTCATTTGTATCTGGTTTCTTTTGCTCAGCATTGTGTGTGAGAGTCATCTATATTACTCAGTATAGTTACAGATCATTCATTCTCATTGCTATATAGTATTCCATTGGGGGCGTATACCCCAGTTTTATTTATTCTACTGTTGATGAGCATTTGGGTGGTTTCCAGCATGGGTCTATTACAATAATGCTTTTCTGAATACTCTAATTCATGTCCTATAGTGAACATATAAGCATATGTGTTGGATGTATACCTATAAGTAAAATATAAGTCATAGGATATGTGTATATTTAGCTTTATTATATACTGCCAAGCACTTTTCCAAAGAGGTTGTGCCCATTTACCCTCCCACAACCAGTGTTTAGGAGTTTTTATTATTCTACATCCTTTTTAAAACTTTTAGCCATTTTGGTGGGTGTGTAGTATTCTCTCATTGTGATTTTTTTTTTTTTGACAGTCTCACTCTGTCACCCAGGCTGGAGTGGTGCAACCTTGGCTCACTGTGATCTCTGCCTCCAGGGTTCAAGTGTTTCTCCTGCCTCAGCCTCCCAAGTAGCTGGGATTATGGGTGCCTTTTACCACACCTGGCTAATTTTTGTATTTTTAGTAGAGACGGGGGTTTCACCATGTTGGCCAGGCTGGTCTTGAACTCCTGACCTCAAGTGATCCGCCCACCCCAGCCTCCCAAAGTGCTGGGATTGCAGGTGTGAGCCACCACCCCTGGCCTCCTTGTGATTTTAATGCTCACTTCCCTGATAAAGTTTAAACACTTTTTCATTTGTTTATTGGTCATTTGGGTATGCTCTTTTATTGTCTATTTTCACACAAGTAGACACTTTTCTATTTGATTGTCTTTCTTAAAGAATTTTAGGAGTTCTTTATACATTCTGGATATGAGTCCTTTGTAAGACCTATGCTCTTAATAGTATATTAATGAATGAAGTTCTAAAGTTTAATATAGTCTAATTTGTTAATATTTAGAAAATGCTTTAAAATTATAATGTATTGACACAACACCGGCTGGAATTCATGAGACATATTTTGTGCTTGGCTTAAAGAAAACAGCAAAAAGCAGCCTCACAGAATAATTATGACAAACAGATCAAATTTTTATTTTTATGTTAATACATAAACACAGTAAACATTGTGTATACAATAAACATAGTATGTCAAACATATGTTGAAATGATAATTTGAGATACCGGCACAACCCATCCATCAGCAAATATTCTACTCTTGGTAGACACCCCTTACATACTGAAGCAAAAGTCACAAATTCATATATCAGTCGCTCTCTTATCACATTCCTTTTATGGCACACTATTTCTTAAGGAAGACTATCTAATCATTTAAGAACAATGATTTAAGTTTGTTTACTATGTTGTATATATATACACACATAAAATTTAGCAGGAAGCTATTCCTAGTATTGATACTTTTTACAGAACACTATGTGACATCTTACAGAAGCTTTGTGTTCCTCAGACCTCTGGCTTAAGCAAAGCACAAAAGTATGGAAAAACATGGCAGTAGAATAGTAGATGAATAGCCACAATTCCACATAGCTAGACAGCAGAGTGCATGGGAGAGAATAAGGGAGTGTGGGCAGGGAGGAAGGGGTGCAAGATGAGGCAGGAGAGCTAAACAAGAATAAGATTTTGACAGTTCTGAAATCCCACTCTAAGGTACTTGAACTCTCTCCTGGATGAACACTGGCAGTATCATGATAAGATTTGTATCCTTGAAAATTAATTCTGATGGCAATATGGAAGACAGGTTGAATGAAAGAATCGTTAGCAAAGAGATAAGGGGCTACTGCAGTAATCAAGGAGAGAATTGAGTATGTCCTCGGTCAAGCCAGTGGCAGTGAGCAGGGAAAGGAGAAAATAGATTTGAGAACTCTTTTAGAGAGAATTAATAGAATTTAGTGGGGTATGAAGGAGAGAGAAGACAAAGATGAAGCTGCTTCTAGCCTGGATGACTGGAGTAGTGCTGATTCACTAGTCTGAGAATGAGACTTGGGATCAGGTTTTAGCCAGGGGTGGCAGAGATAAACTGAGTTTAAGGGATCTACAAAGTGGTTTAGGTGCAGATGTTCAGGAAATAAAAATATAGAACTGGGACTCAGAACAGAAATAGGGACCTGAATTCCTTTTTGTATAGGCTGTAGCTGAAGCTATGAAACTAGATGAGATTATTCAAGAAGACAGCTATAAAAGAGAAAAAGCCTGAAGACAGAATCCTGGGGGATAACCAATATTTAAAGAGTAGAACAACTGGAAAAAATAAAAGAGACTGAGACAGATATGTACGGATAGGTGAAAAAACAAAGTAGTGTTGTGGCACCTTGGAGAGGAAAAGAGAGTATGTGGGTAACAGTGTCAGATAATATAAAGAAGTTACATATTATGAGGAATGAGAAGAGGTCAACTATAGGATTGTACTTGGTGACTTTGGAGAGAATAGTTTAGAAAGGAAAGGAGGAAAATCCAGATTGCAGCGGGGTCTGAGGAGTGTATGAGAGGGAAGAAGATTATATAATCATAGTAAAACTCCAGTTTCATGGATCATTGTGAAATAAATTGTTTTAGTCTTGAATTACTTGGGTAATTGTTTCTGCCTTCTGCTCTGCCTTGCCTATGAAGATCTAATTTAATGTAATATTCAAAGCGCTATTTCTTTTTGATTACCTTCAAAGATATCAAATTTGAAGTCCTGAGAAATCTTTTCATCATATATGTGGTAATGATGTGCTAAACTGAATATATTAAATAATACTAATCTTTTTTCACCTCCGTTGTTTTTCCAGGAAACAGTTTTCCCATCCCAAATCACTAATGAGCATGAGTCATTGAAAATGGTGAAGAAACTTTTTGCTACTTCCATCTCATGTATAACATACCTAAGGGGCCTGTTTCCAGAGAGCTCTTATGGAGAACGCCATTTGGATGGTAAAGTTAAACTAACTAGTCTCTTTGGCTGTTGTAGCCCCTTTCTCTATTTAGCAGGAATAAACCTTTCACGTCTCACAAAGTGTGCTAATTCCAACTTAAGGGCCTGTTCTTCAAGACCAATTTGCTAATCCATTTTCCATTTTAATTTTACTGTGTGTAGTGATTTTACTTATAGGAATTACTAGTTCCTAGCTAGACGCCAGGTGACAGATGGAAGAAAAAAGAAATGTTTGGACAAGTCCAGTATAAAAGCAACAGCTAGATCAAAATCTATTTGAATGCTGTAGATTTGCGCTACGTTGTGCCTCAATTGAATTTATTCTTTAAGGTACACTTTAGCATTGAGGAAGTTCAAAGGAACCAGGTGAAAAACTTTTCTCCCTGTTAACGTATATAAAAATACTGGGGATAAAAAAGCCAAACTCACTTGTTGATTAACATGGATATTAAAATAATTATTATTCTAATCAGTTCTGGCTTTTTTCTCAATTGCCAGGTCTTCTACTTTCATTCCTTTTGTTTCAGTGCTCTTAAACTTATCATCTTATTGTCTTATACTACAAGCTGTTTCTGGCCCCTTTTCTTCTCTTATTATAAAAACAAGTACCAGCCAGGCATGGTGGCTCATGCCTGTAATCCCAACACTTTGGGAGGCCGAGGCGAGTGGATCACCTGAGTTCAGGAGTTCGAGACCAGCCTGGCCAACATGGTGAAACACTGTCTCTACTAAAAATACAAAAATTAGTTGGGCATTATGCTGGGCACCTGTAATCCCAGCTACTTGGGAGGCTGAGGCAGGAGAATCACTTGAACCCAGGAGACAGATATTGCAATGAGCCAAGATCGTGCCATTGCACTCCAGCCTGGGTGACAAGAGCAAAACTTCATCTCAGAAAAACAAACAAAAACAAAAACAAAAACAAAAAACCCAAGTACCTAGGACTCAACAAGTTTTCAAAAATCTTATTTGTTTAAAAAGCTGGATTGTGTATCATGAAAATGGCCATACTGCCCAAAGTAAATTATAGATTCAATGTTATTCCCATCAAGCTACCATTGACTTTCTTCACAGAATTAGAAGAAACTACTTTAAATTTCATATGGAACCAAAAAGGAGCCCATATAGCCAAGAAAATCCTAAGCAAAAAGAACAAAGCTGGAGGCATCATGCTACCTGACTTCAAATTATGCTACAAGGCTACAGTAACCAAAACAGCATGGTACTGCTACCAAAATAGATATATAGACCAATGGAACAGAACAGAGGCCTCAGAAATAACACCACACATCTACAACCATCTGATCTTTGACAAACCTGACAAAAACAAGCATTGAGTAAAGGATTCCCTATTTAATAAATGGTGCTGGGAAAACTGGCTAGCCATACGCAGAAAACCGAAACTGGACCCCTTCCTTACACCTTATACAAAAATTAATTCAAGATGGATTAAAGACTTAAATGTAATACCTAAAACCATAAAAACCCTAGAAGAAAACCTAGGCAGTACCATTCAGGCCATAGGCATGGGCAAAGACTTCATGACTAAAGCACCAAAAGCAATTGCAACAAAAGCCAAAATAGACAAATGGGAACTAATTAAACCAAAGAGCTTCTGCACAGCAAAAGAAATTGTCATCAGAGTGAACAGGAAACATACAGAATGGGAGAAAATGTTTCCAATCTATCCATCTGACAAAGGTTTAATATCCAGAATCTACAAGGAACTTAAAACAAATTTACAAGAATAAAACAACCCCATCAAAAAGTGGGCAAAGGATATGAACAGACACTTCTCAAAAGAAGACATTTATGCAGCCAACAAACATATGAAAAAAAGCTCATCATCACTGGTCGTTAGAGAGATGCAAATCAAAACCACAATGAGATACCATCTCATGCCAGTTAGAACGGAAATCACTAAAAAGTCAGGAAACAACAGATGCTGGAGAGAATGTAGAGAAATAGGAATGCTTTTACACTGTTGGTGGGAGTGTAAATTAGTTCAACCATTGTGGAAGACAGTGTGGCAATTCCTCAAGGATATAGAACCAGAAATACCATTTGACCAAGTAATCCCATTACTGGGTATATATCCAAAGTATTATAAATCATTCTATTATAAAGACACATGCACACATATGTTTATTGCAGCACTATTTACAATAGCAAAGACTTGGAACCAACCCAAATGCCCATCAATGATAGACTGGATAAAGAAAATGTGGCACATATACATCATAGAAAACTATGTACCCATGAAAAATAATTAGTTCATGTCCTTTGTAGGAACATGGATGATGCTGGAAACCATCATTCTCAGCAAACTAACACAGGAACAGAAAACCTGTGTTATGTATGTTCTCACTCATAAGTGGGAGTTGAACAATGAGAACACATGGAAACAGGAAGGGGAACATCACACACTGGAGCCTGTAGGGGGGTGGGGGGCAAGGGAAGGAATAGCATTAGGACAAATACCTAATGCATGTGGGGCTTAAAACCTAGATGATGGGTTGATGGTTGCAACAAACCACCATGGCACATGAACAAACCTGCACTTTCTGCACATGTATTCCAGAACTTAAAGTATTAAAAAAAAAAAAAGCTGGATTGTGAATCTTGTTGACTTGTCACTAAAATAGGAACTGTCATTTGGAAAATAAACATAGAGAGCTACAAGTTGCCTTGTAAGATGTTATTTTTCAAAATCTAATTTTAAATTTCTTACATCTGTATTTAATGATATACCTTGGCCTCATTTCAGTCTAATTCTCTTGGTTGGGCATGGTGGCTCAGGCTTGTAATCCAAAGTGTAACCATAACACTTTGAAAGGCAAGGTGGGCAGACTGCTTGAGCCTAGGAATCCAAGACCAGCCTGAACAACACGGTGAAACCCTGTCTCTATAAAAAATACAAAAAATTAGCTGGCCATGGTGGTGAGTGCCTGTAATTCCAGCTACTCTGGAGGCTGAGGTGGGAGGATCATCTGAGCCTGGGGGGTTAAGGCTACAGTGAGCTGTGATTGCACCACTGAATTCCAGCTTGAGTGATACAGTGAGACTCTGTCTCAAAAAAAAAAATTATCTTAAGTAATGTAAGAGCATCAATAAAATGCATGTGTGCTATAAGCACATAAACATGATATTTGCAATCATGACAACCTCATTTGTATTATGACATCTTTTGGTCTATGAGATACAAACTTGTAATAGTGAATGTGTTTATATCTAACATATATTTGTAATTTTCCCTCTTGTCTAGAACATAGAATTGAGAAAGACATATTTTTGATAATAAGCACATATTGTGTGCCAGTCACTACCCTAGGCAACGGCAATGATACCATTCCCTATAGCTTTATTTTTTGTGACAGTTATTGTGGAAGTTTTATGTCTCCCTTTCAATGTTTGTTCTTAAAGTAATATACATCATAAAAATGCTTAATACTCCTGTGTCACTCTCTTGTAATTTCTGAATGTTATATCAACATGGGATAATTTTCATATCCCTCAATAGAGATACAGGTAACATCAATTTTAGTATAGGAAAACAATACGAAAAGGTGAAGTTGCTTATGCAAAATCACACATAAATCAGTGATTGATCTTGGACTACTTTAAACCAAAACTCTATTTATTTATTTTGAGAGGGAGTCTCATTTCATTGTCCGGGCTGGAGTGTGGCGGCATGATCATTACAGGATTACAGCTTCGACCTTCCAGCCTCAAGTGATCCTCCTGCCTCAGCTTCCTGAGTAGTTGGGAGTATAGGCATGTGCCACTATGCCCAGATAATTTTTTTAATTATTTTTTTTAGAGGTGAGGTTTCACTAGGTTGCCCAGGCTGGTTTCGACGTCCTAGGCTCAAGCAATCCTTCTGCCTCAGCCTCCCAAAGTGCTGGGATTACAGGTGTGAGCCACCACACCCGGCCTAAACCCAAACTCTTAATATGATATTCCTATTCTTCTTAAGTATAAAAAGGTAGATTTCGGATAAAATAAATATTTGAGAATAATCCGTGTGAAATTTTTTATTCCTTCCTTTTCAATGAGAGGGAGAGAAATAACAGGGAAATGACTGATATTTAGGTGTATATTTTAAGTTGGTCAATGGAGATAGTCTCAATACTACCTCATAATTACTTAGAATTCTACAGCGGCAAAGAAAGGACACAAATTGATTTTGGAGCCAACTCAGTTGTGCTACATTGTAGAAGGGGGAAAATCCTTACTGTAATCGAAATTGAGACCAAGCTACTTCTTAACATAGGATTTATTTTTAAAGTAGATGTTTAGAGATCCAAAATGTTTTTATAAGCTATAAAACTAAATAAATTACATAAATAAAATAGTTAAAGGAAATACCCTATTTAGCATGGACAATTTCAGTACAGCAGTCATTTAGTAGATAAAAATAGACTGTGTTTCTGTTTTTGTAGACCTCAGTTTAAAAATCCTCCGAGAAGATAAAAAATGTCCCGGGTCACTGCATATTATCAGATGGTAAGTAATAGAAATTCTATAAAAGTTGAACAACATTATTTTTATCATGGCTGAAATTACCCATAAGACTTTATTTAGTAAGATCATTTTTTAAAAAACCATTTCTTCTTTTCTACTTTCCCTCTTTCTTTTTCTTTTTCTGTTTTTGATTTTTTTTTTTTTTTTTTTTTTTTTTTTTTTGAGATGGAGTCTCGCTCTGTCCCCCATGCTGGAGTGCAGTGGCGCAATCTCGGCTCACTGCAACCTCTGCCTCCCAGGTTCAAGTGATTCTCCGCCTCAGCCTCCCGGGTAGCTGGGACTACAGGTGCATGCCACCACGCTCAGCTAATTTTTGTATTTTTAGTAGAGACAGGGTTTCACCATCTTGGCCAGGATGGTCTCGATCTCTTGACCTCATGATCCAACCACCTTGGCCCCCCAAAGTGCTGGGACTACAGGTGTGAGCCACTGCCCTGACCTACTTTCCCTCTTTCTTTTTAAAAATAATTTTCTAGGAATTTGTAAGAATTATTCAATATAATTTTAAGACACTGATTTAGCTTTTTGAAAGAAAATTGACTTGTATAAAAATAAAAACTGTGATAAAATATTAAATATATACACCTATTATGTACCCACACAGATTTTAAAAATTGATAATTCATCATATGTGTGTCAGTGTACTAAACATGGGATCCAAAAAAATTTGGTTCACTACCACAAAATAGCTCACTATTACTTATAAAGGTCTATCATCATATTAAAAGTTGCTGGAAGTTTAAAAAAATGATTAAATGGGAAAGGTAAGATGGTTATCAACTTAATGTACATCAAAGCAAAAAGTGCAAATGAATTCTGTACTTGGAATTTTTTTGGATTTGCATATGGTCCAATTGACATCAAACATTTATTTCTTGACAGGATTCAAGGTTGTTTTGATGCTTTGGAAAAGAGATACGTAAGAATGTTTTTACACTTACACTGGAATCAAAGGCTTGTCTTTTATTCTTTAAAAAAAGAAATTAGACATTTATTTTGTTTTTGTGTTTAACAGTATAAGTGTCTACGTTTGCATCCATAAACTAATTTCTTATCTTATGTCTTTATTGTCCTGTTGTTGTCTCCTTTGCATCAATTAGAAAGAAAACTCATTTTTTCTCTTTTACATACTCACATTTTTTGACCACAGAGTTTCCTCTGAAGTCACTGGAAGAGATCCACAGGATGTGGGACAGGAGAGACAAGAATCTGGCATTTAGTGCATTGAACAAATTTAGAATAGTGGTGATTCAATTTGCAGATATGAAAGGAAAAAATTGACTTGAATAATTGGTTTTTATTCTGTCTTAGTTATTTTGGTAACTATATTTTGTTCATAAGTATAATCTATTCCCTTACAATAGCTAGTATTGTACCTCAAATTTTAAAAAAATACAGCTTAAATTTTAAGTGCATCTGATCTTTCATGCTGCCCAAGACAGCTATGAAGGGTGTACAAAATGGAGGCTCTAGTCCTAGTTGAAGAGACAAGATGTATATAAATGAAATTTCTCTTTTTCTTTTTTTTTCTGTGAAGCTTTTATTATGAACAGAGGGCAGGGCAAGGCAGGGGGCTCAGTCCTTGGCAGCGGCTTTCCTCATGGTGGCCAGGACATTGCGCAGCTCCTCCTACTTCCTCTTGGTGCGGATGTGTGTTCCCACCTTTTTCTTGATGAACTTGAAGGCCCTTTTGTCCTTGGAGACCTTGAGCTACTCCATGGGATGCTGCCCATACAGGGTGAAGCCACACACCTCTCAGATCATATCCCGCATGAACTTGGTGTGTTTGGTCAGGCACCTGCGATGGCAGCTGGGCCTGGGCTTGCTCACATTCTTGGTCACCTTGTGGCCCTTGTTGAGGCCCATGGCTGTAGGATAAAGCAGAACCATGGCTGCTGCTCTCCAGTGACAGCCAAGGCCTGTAAGTATTTGAAATTTCCGCCACTGCTTTTCCCCACTTTCTCCATCTATGTCTTCTTTTTACTCCTCAATTCCTGTTCCTTTAAGAAATCTTGAGGTCAGGAAGCCTTACACTGGATTATTTAGCAAATTCATACATTTCTATTTCCACTGCACATTTGTTACTTATGATTTATTCAACACTGACCAGAGGGACCTAGGGATACAAAGATAAAACAGAAGTGGGAAAGAGCTTGTAACCATGGCAGAAGATAAGTGAATTCATATGCAGGGCTGATGATCAGCTGTTACATACTGACTCAGCTGTATCTGCTCTTAAAATATTGAAATATTTCTGTATTGAATGGTGAATAGCTACTTTTCTGAGACCTCATGTGGCTCCCCATCAATATCCTCCCCATCACCTTACAGTGTCTCTTTTGGGATCTCTCCAGAACACTCCAAAATCCAGTAACCAAAGGGTTAATATCTAGTCCGAACGTTGCTTCCAGGAGGCCAGCTCTAGAGCCAAATTGGCATCCTTTCTGATTGGCCAGTATCTATGTCATATTGGGCTTTACATGTTTATTTATTAATTTTTTTGTGAGTGTGTGGCAGAGTCTTACTCTGTTGCCCAGGCTGGAGTGCAGTGGCGCAAACTTGGCTCACTGCAACCTCCGCCTCCCAGGTTCAAGCGATGCTGCTGCCTCAGCCTCCTAAGTAGCTGAGATTACAGAAATGCACCACCACACTCGGCTAATTTTTGTATTTTTAGTAGAGATGGGGTTTCACCATGTTGGCTAGGCTTCTCTCGAACTCCTGACCTCAAGTGATCTGCCCAACTCAGCCTCCCAACATGCTGGGATTACAGGCATGAACCACTTCACCCAGACTATATATTGATTTTTTTATATCAATTTGATATTTTTATGTAAAAATATCAGAGATATTTCAATCACCCCTATAATGCTCATTAGAAAGTGATGCATGCCAAAAGACAGATAATGATCATATGCAATGGGAAGTATGGGAAAGGAGGCACTATACCCTGTGAGAAACATGAGAGAAATCTTTTGAGAGAAAATAGCCTCTGAGCTTTGGAGGCCCTGAATATTTGGACAGATTGAGAGGGGGAGACGGCCATCACTGTTATACTGAACAGTGCTCACTCATTCCCCTTCATCCATTCATTTAGCAGCATTTCCTGACTGTTCCTCATTGAGGGGCAGTACAATATAGTTAGAACTTCAAGTTTTGGAGTCAGATGGTCTGAAGAATCCCAGTTCTGTCACTTAACACCTGTGTGACCTTTGGCACGTAACCTACCTTTTGGTACCTTAGTTTCTTTGCATATAAGATGGGGATAATAATAGAATCCACTTGTTAAGGATATTTGATAATTAAATGAGTTAATAATCTAAAGCAGTGGTTCTCAAACTTTAGCTTGCATCAGAATCACCTGGAGGACTTGTTAAAACACATGTTGTGAAGCCTCACCTCAAAATTTCTGATGTAAGAATTTGCATTTCAGACAAATTATAAGAGATGCTCTTGACTGCTGGTCTAGGGACCATAATTTGAAAACCACTGATCTAAAATGGTTAGAACAATGCCTGGCACATAACAAATACTATGTATGTGTTAAACATTCATTCTTTATACATTGGCTATTTAATCTGTGCCAGACACTGTGCCTAAGCATTGGATGAGATAATAATGAGAGTAAAATGTGATTCCACTCCCAGGGAGGTCATAATATAATAGGGTCACTTCTTAAATAAAAAATTATAAGTATTACATGTACTAAAATAGCAGTATAATGTACAAAGAGTATCTAGCTAGTTTGATAAATTTATTTTACTAAATGTCTACCTGTATGACTGACTCAGTCAAAATAGCTTGTTTTGGAGAGATCAAAAGACAAAATTTTAGATAGATGACTTAGTCTCTTAAGTAAATAGTATTTATATTGTTTTTCAGTTGTTAATCTTTTATAACTTTCCTCAGGTGATCTTGTAGCTGGTATGATATGTTTTAAAAGTAGTTTGAGGCCGAACACAGTGGCTCACACCTGTAATCCCAGCACTTTGGGAGGCTGAGACGGGTGGATCTCTTGAACCCAGGAGTTTGAGACCGGCCTGGGCAACATGGTGACACCCTGTCTCTGCTATAAATACAAAAAATTAGCTGAGTATGGTGGCTGGTGCCTATAATCCCTGCTACTCGAGAGGCTGAGGCAGGAGAATTGCTTGAGCCTAGGAGGCAGAGGTTGCAGTGAGCTGAGACCATGCCACTGCACTCCAGCCTGGGCGACAGAGCGAAACTTCATCTCAAATAAATAAATAAATAAATAAATGAAAATAGTTTGAGTAAAATCAGATTTGAGTATCTAGAGATCTTGAAAGGTGTTCCCCTGTAAGAGCATGATTATTTCTAGTTATGAAATTTTGTGTGATTTTTTTTTTTTTTGAGACGGAGTCTCGCTCTATTGCCCAGGCTGGAGTGCAGTGGTGTGATCTCGGCTCACTGCAACCTCTGCCTCCCGAGTTCAAGCAATTCTTCTGCCTCAGCCTCCCAAGTAGCTGGGACTACAGGCACGTGCCACCATGCCTTGCTAATTTTTGTATTTTTAAAGTAGAGATGGGGTTTCAATTTTGGGTGATTTTTATACTTATTTTGTACTTTATATTATGCTTGAATTCTTCAAAATAAGTACATATCAGTGTTGCAGATAATTATTGTAAAAAAAGAGACTATATTGTATATAGCTATCTAGCTTGTTTCCTTATTCGCATTCTCAATCCCTCACCATTCCAACCCACTGTCCACACTGCATACTTTCAGAAACCCAAGTCTGATCATGTCATTCTTTTGCCTAAAAATTTTCCACAGCTTTTAAAATAAAGTTCAGGGTCCTTCACATGGTCTGCAAGGCCTGTATGATCCCTATCTTCCTGTCCAGGGCATCACTGTCATTCCCATGTTCAAGCCACACAAAGAATCTAGAACATGCCAAGCTCCTTTTACCTTTGCATATATTGTTCCTCTTGCCTGGAAACTTCTCTCCCCTGCCCCATACACCTTGCCTGGCTAACTCCAATTTATCTGTCAAGTCTCAGCTTAAATATTTACTTCCCTAGGGAAGTAAATACTTCCCTCCCTGACACCCTCCTCCCTAGCCTAGATGGTCCCTTTATTTCATGTTCTCATAGCATCCCATGCTGCTTCTTCATAGCAATGAACACAATGTTAATGATGTAGCTATCTTTGCTATTTTTTTGTTGTTTAACGTTGTTCTCCCCTGCTAGTCTAAATGTTCCCTGAGATTGGGACCATGTCTATTTTTGAATGAATGCATAAATAAATGAACTCAATTAAGTAATGTATGAGTTTATATGCAGTAATCAAAATGGCCACACAGTGGCAGTAAAGTTTTAGTCCTTTGATATGAAATTATGGTTCTGAAATTTTTTTTCTTTTCTCTTTCTTTCTCTCGCTCTCTCTTTCTCTCCCTCCCTCCTTCTTTCCTTCCTTCCTTCCTTTCTTCTTTTTCTTCCTTTCTCTCTTTCCTTCCTTTCTTTCCTTTCCTCCTTCCCTCCCTCCTTCCTTCCTTTCTTCTTTTTTTTTTTTGGAGTCTCTCTCTGTTGCCCAGGCTGGAGTGCAGTGGCGTGGTCTTGGCTCACTGCAACCTCTGCCTCCCGGGTTCAAGTGATTCTCCTGCCTCAGCCTCCCGAGTAGCTGGGATTACAGGTGCCTGCCACTACACCTGGCTAATTTTTTGTATTTTTAGTAGAGACGGGGTTTCACCATGTCGGCCATGCTGGTCTCAAACTCCTGACCTTGTGATCCTCCGGCCTCAGACTCCCAAAGTGCTGGGATTACAGGCGTGAGCCACCATGCCCGGCCCTCTCTTTCTTTCTTATAGGGTTTCACTCTGTTGCTTAGGCTGGAGTGCATTGGCACAATCACAGCTCACTGCAGCCTCAACTTCCAGGCCTCAAACAATCCTCCTGCCTCAGCCTCCCAAGTAGCTAGGACCACAAGTGTGCACCACTATGCCTAGCTAATTATTTACTTTTTGTAGAGATGGCATCTTACCATGTTTCCCAGGCTGGCTTTGAACTCCTGGGTTCAAATGATCTGCCCACCTTGGGCTCCCAAAGTGCTGGGATTACAGGCAAGAACCACTGTGACTGGCCTGAAATTTTCTGATTTGTATTCTAGTTTTTAAAAACAATTATCATTGGCTTGATTATATTTCTATCTCTATATGTTACTCTTTCAAGCAGAGATAATCTGTTCATAGTAGTGTATATGTAGAGAGGACAAGGACTTTATAGACATATAAGATGTTTTTACTTTAGTAGATTAGTTTCAAATGGGACACTTTTTGAGGTACTTGTTGCATATTTAATTATTTAGTAATAATGAATTATTTTGTATACCTTTTGCCTCCAGAACTAGAATATAACTTTTTAAGGGTAGGGATAGTTATCTTTTTTGTGTCCCTCTCGTCTCTAGCAGAGCCCTGTGTACGTAATGGACTCTCACTTGAATGAGTGAATAGTTAGTACAGTTGGCCCTCCATGTATCAGAGCATTCTACATCCACAGATTCAACCAACTGGAAAATATTTAGAAAAAATAACAGTACAACAATAAAAATAATACAAATAAAAAATACAGTGTGACAAGTATTTATATAGCATTTACATGGTATTAAGTATTATAAGTAATCTAGAAATGATTTAAAATACAGTTGAACTCATTACACATTATATACAGGTATCAAAATATCACATGTACCCCCAAAATATGTACAACTATTATATATCAATTAAAAAATGCTAGTCTTTCAGAAATGGAGAGAAAAAAAGAAAAAATTATAGGAAAGAATCAGTTTTCAGATATCTAGGAAATTCCCCTTTATAATGCAAAAAAATTGCTATCGAATTGTGAGCATATACTTTTTTTTTTTTTTTTTTTTGAGATGGAATCTCGCTCTGTCGCCCAGGCTGGAGTGCAATGGCGTGATCTCAGCTCACTGCAACCTCTGCCTCCCAGGTTCAAGCAATTCTCCTGTTTCAGCCTCCCAAGTAGCTGGGATTACAGGCACAAGCCGCCATGCCTGGCTAATTTTTTGTATTTTAGTAGAGACAGAGTTTCACCATGTTTCCCAGGCTGATCCCAAACTCCTGAGCTCAGGCAGTCTACCCACCTTGGCCTCCCAAAGTGCTAGGATTACAGGCGTGAACCACCGCACCCGGCCTCATATAATATACTTTTAGCATAAAATTAATTTTGACCTTCCTGGAAAAAAGTACAGTTGACCTTTGAACAACATGGGTTTGAGCTTCACAGGTCCACTTATATATGGATTATTTTCAATAAATACAGTTGGCCCTCTGTATCTGTGGCTTCCACATCTGCAACCAAAGGTGGATTGAAAATACAGGACGGGGCCAGGGCAGTGGTTCACGCCTGTAATCCCAACACTTTGGGAGGCCGAGGTGGGTGGATCACAAGGTCAGAAGATCGAGACCATCCTGGCCAACATGGTGAAACCCTGTCTCTACTAAAAATACAAAAATTAGCTGGGCGTGGTGGTGCATGCGTGTAATCCCAGCTACTCAGGAGGCTGAGGCAGGAGAATCGCTTGAACCCGGGAGGAGGAGGTTGCAGTGAGCCAAGATCACGCTACTGTACTCCAGCCTGGTGACAGAGCAAGACTCTGTCAAAAAAAAAAAAAAAAAGAAAGAAAGAAAGAAAGAAAAAGAAAATACTACAGGCTGGGCACAGTGGCTCATGCCTGTAATTCCAGCACTTTGGGAGGCCAAGATGGGAGGATCACTTGAGGTCAGGAGTTCACGACCAGCCTAGCCAACATGGCAAAACCCCATCTCTACTGAAAATACAAAAATTAGCCGGGCATTGAGGCGGGCATCTGTAATCGCAGCTACTCAGGAGGCTGAAGCAGGGGAATCCCTTGAACCTGGGAGACAGATGTTGCAGTCAGCCGATATCATGCCACAACACTCCAACCTGGGTGACAGAGTGAGACTCTGTCTCAAAAAAAAAGAAAAAGGAAAATACAGTATCTGTAGATGTGAAACCCAGATATGGAAGGCTGACTTTTCATATACTCCCTGAGGTACTTGAGTACACATGGATTTTGGTATTCATAGGGAGTCCTGGAACTAATTCCTTCTCAGATACTGAGGGATGACTGTATCCTTTTTCTTCTGGCCTTCTGGATATTTTTTTCCTACCCAAATCTTTCGAACCTCTCTGAAATAATATTTTAATTAGTCTATTGAAAAGAATGATAATATAGGTGCAAGTATGTAATAATAATAGTTTTTTTTTCTTTCTCTTGAAGCTACGTATGGCAGTACTGACAGTAAGTACACACTCATTTAAAGACCAAGCCTCTGTCTCTATTTCATTGTCTTTTGGCAAGTGAAACATTAAAACAGTACTCTCCCTCTTCCTCCCTGACTTTTTTTTTTTAATCTGTCTTGGAATTAAAAACATAGGATCTATCAGAAGTTTAATAAAAGATTATGAATTGTATATTTCTTTGGTATAATACATGGGAAAATGTATAGGCTATACTATCTGCTTCATTTATTGGCTCTCAGGATTTTATTTTTTTAGTTACTTTACAGACTCCAAATTTTTTGTTTTTGAAGTTTGGTAGACTCTTTTGAAATTTTGTATACCTCTGAGTTTAACATGTTATACATAGTTAAGAATAGAAAATGAGAAGATACCACTGAGAGTCTTAGATCTATGATTTATTGAACAAATTTTAAACCATAATGGATTATTTAGAATTTATTTGTAGCTTAGTCATGGTAATTATGAATCCTTCATTATTAATTTCCTTTTATTCAGTGTTCACAGAATATTCTAAAGACTCTACATTCACAAAATAAGCATATCCTATCTCTAGCTTAAAATATATGTCTGTACTCAACTAATAGAACACAAATTGAACTCTATATAAAAAAGGTATTTGATGAGGAGTAATCTAGTAAATTCCAGAAATTAAATGATGTTTATTTTCCCTTATACAGCTTTACACAGATCCCATGGGATCTGAGGTAAGAACACACACAAACGTATAGGTGGGTAGTATATGTATATTATATTTTAAGATGTTTTTCTGAGTTGAGGCTATAGATTTTGTTACTAGACTACCATATGAGCAGAGGAACTAATAGTGGGCTCTTTCAGTATATTTTACTCTAAACTTGACCAATCTCTTATTATGAGATTTTTCAAAAACTATGTAAGGGTATTGGGGAAAAAAGGCATTGAGAAGAACTGAGCTTATTCCCTAACCTGTTGGCATTAAGAGTCTCTTAATGTATAAATGTATAAAACCACATTTTTTTCTTAAAAATTTTTTAAATTTAATTTTTATGAACTTTTTTTCCGAGTCATATAAAACCACATTTTATTATTTATTTAAACTGATTATGAATCTTTTCTGTTTATGGCCTTTTGGGAAAATAAATGAGATATGGCATAACTCTAATTTTCATTTTTGCCAACTAAATTCTCCCTCTTTTCGTGTTTTTATAGATTTTCAGAGCTTTACCTCTTTACTTCTCTCTTTAGATTTCTTCCCTCTGTTTAGGGAATCCGACTCATCTTCAAGGCCAACTATGTTCATATCTTATATGTAAACCTCTTTGGCTATTTGGTCTATACTAACTTCTTTCTTTAAATTCTTTTTCCAGCAGAACCCCACAATTTAACACTCTCAATTGATTCATATTGATTACTTAATCTCCTCAACCAGATTGTGAATTCTTCTTTTTTTTTCTTTTTTCTTTTTTTAGATGGAGTCTCGCTCTGTTACATAGGCTGGCTCTGCCTCCCAGGCTTCTAGCAATTCTCCTGCCTCAGCCTCCTGAGTAGCTGGGACTACTGGCATGCACCACCATGGCCGGCTAATTTTTATATTTTTTATATTTTTAATTTTTATATTTTTAGTAGAGATGGGGTTTCACCGTGTTGGCCAGGCTGGTCTTGAACTCCTAACCTCAGTGATCTTCCTGCCTCCTCCTCCCAAAGTGCTGGGATTACTGGCATGACCCAGCATGTCTGGCCCAGATTGTGAATTCTTGAGGACAAGAGTCTTGTCTCATAGTCTTGGACACATAATAGTTACTTGTGCCACTTTGAATGTGGCTGTGGGACAGAAATTGAGGGAGAAACTTTCTGTTCTCTTCTCACTTTACTCTCTTTGTCTTTCTCCTAGCTTTCTTTCCTTTTTCTTTACTTTCAATTTTCCTTCTCTAAGCCTACATATTTAGCCTAACTGGTGCTATTCTAGACTAAATTATGCATTTTTGGCTCTTAATATTCTTTCTTTGCAAGATGACATGTAGCTGTTTAAGCAAGGGGTAAGAAAACTTTTACATACGGTAGGTAGCAATTCCTCAATGCCCAAACTAGTTCTATCTTTTATTTCTTTGTCTATTGTTTCATTTCAAAATGGTTCCCCACCACACTGTAAGTTTGAAGGGAAGTTTCCCAAAATAAAACCTTCTGATAGTTACTAAATTGATCATTTTCTTAGTGTAGTATTTATCATGTTTTCTTATGCATGAAAACTTCCTAGTTTGAAACCAGTGTTTTTTGGGGGTAGTGAAATGCTAAGCAAGTTGAGTTTAATTACAAAAAAAGTATTACAGAGTGGGAAGAAATGCAGGCATATATAATAATGAAGTTAGGAAACAAAAGCTGGTTATGTGGTAAGTTTTGAGCTATCATTTATGACCCAGGAAAAAATATTTTGAATGTTTACAGAGTGTTCCCCTTATGGGTAGATAGTGATGCCTAACCTCTACGTGTTCATGGTATACTTTTTATTACTAAAAAATTCAGTAGCATATTGGGTAATACTAAAACACTCAAAGGAGCCCAAACAAATCAGTAATAATTACAATGTAACTACTACTGTGGTATAGCAATGTTCATAGGGCCTAAAAAGCATCCACAAGTTACATTATTTTATGATTGCTATTTAGCATCAAGTCACTGATAAAACTATTTAGCTCCCTGATCTCATTCTCTTATGTACTCAAAAACAACATTCTAACATAAACATCGTCTTTGGCATTCATCTCATATTGTGCCATGTTTCTTGAGTTATATGCCTGGAAGTATATCCTTTCCTAAACAAAATTGCACAAACAATAACAATGTTTATATATGCCTGAAGCAAAAATACACTAGACAGTTGGATTAAAATTTGCAGCACTCTTGTGAAGAGTATGTCATGGTATAACAATTGAGAACCTCTGGCTTAAATCAAACAAGTGTGTGTCCCTAGTTCAGAAGGCCAACTGAGTTTTCAGCATTCTACAAAGTTATGGTACTTCTGTGCTATAAGTTTTGTTCTGGTTGCTCCATCTCATGAAAGAGATGACCAACGAAAGTAACTAAGCATCTAAGTAAACTAAGTACTAAAGTAGTGAAGAGTGATAGTGTAGCTTTTCTATAGGAACACACTACAAAATGAGTAGCAAGTATTAGTAAAACATGTAAGCCAAAATGTAAATAAGATTTACACAGCTTAATGCATATAAGACCATATAGAATTATTATATATGAATATGGTGAAGGCATAAATCTTATGGTTTCACTATCTATTCCTTTGTGCCTGTTTACCATTGGAGGTGATCAATACTCTTTATTTTTTATTTTTTTAAGAGACAGGCTCTCCCTCCATCACCCAGGCTGGAGTTCAGTGGTGTGATCTTGGCTCATGGCAGCCTTGACCTTCTAGGCCCAAGCGATCCTCCAACCTCAGCTTCCCAAGTAGCTGGGACTGCAGTTGTTCGCCACAATGCCCAGTTATTTTTTAAAATTTTTGCAAATGTGGGGTTATGTTGCCCCGGCTGGTCTCAAAGGATCCCCTTGCCTCAGCCTCCCAAAATGCTGGGATTACAGGTGTGAGCCACTGCACTTGGCCAACACTCACCTTTAATAGATTGCCTCATAAACTTAACTATAAGTAGTGTCCATTTCTAGCCACAATATACTTTTAGATACTTTATTTTAGAAAAAAATCGTTGTAGGATGAAATCCTAAGTAAGCATGAACTCTACCTTGGCCAAATATTTATTCATTCAGCAAATATTAATTGGGTTCCTTTTATGTGCCTAGCACTGTTCAAGGTATAAAAACACAGGGGTGAATGGGATAGGCAAGATCCCTGCTCTCTAGAAGCCTACGTTCTTATGAGGTAGGATAAACAATAAATAAATAAATAAAAATTAGTACAAACAATTTCAGATAGACATAGTGCTATGAAGAAAATTTTTTAAACAGGTGATGTACTAGAGAGTGCTGAAGTGGAGAATGAAGAAGGAGGGATTGGATGGCTGTGTTAGATTGGGCAGTTCCTAGGAGGCATCCCTGAGAGGCTACTGTTTGAGCTGAGATGAATAACCAGAAGGAGTCAGCCCATGCAAGTCTGTGAAGGGCAATGGCATGTGACAGGCCAAATAACACCACAGTTAACATCACAGGCATTGGCGTCAAATCGCAGTTCTACCACTTACTAGCTACATCAATAATGAGACTAATGTCTACTTCAGAGTGTTGGCTACACAAGGAGATGAACTTGTGAAATATTTAGGGCAGTGCCTGAATATTATTATTATCATTAACCGGAGACCACATGTTCCAGAATATAGCTGTGCAAAGGCCCTAAGACAGGAAGGAATCTTGGGTGTTTGAGCATAGAAAAGGTGCCATGAGCCTGGAGCTTAGCTGAGTGCAAGGGAAAGTGGCCAGAGATAAGGTTAGAGAGGCAGACAGGGGACAGATGGGTAGGGCCTTGCAAATCAAGATAACTTTTGGATTTTATTTTAAGGGTGGTGAGAAGCTAATGGGGGTTTTTAAGAAAATGAGTGACATGGTCTGATTTGTATTTTCAAAAACTACTTTTGGCTGCAGAACAGAGAATGAGCATCAGATGGACTTGCAATTTGCTTTAGAGATAGACCTGAAAAGTCTTGCCAATGGGTTGGAATGTGGAGGGAGAAGGAGAGGCTGCATATGTTGCTGCTGCTTTGGCCTATGTGACTATATTTAGTATGATTCATAGAAACCACTGATGAGCAGTTCAATGGTTCATCTTTATTAGGCAACACATTAGTCTGAAAAGTGTTATATGAGGTGTTAAGAATAGTGCCTGCTGTAAATATACTTTCCTAGATAAGCCAGAGTCAGACTGAAGTTAATTAAGGATTAGCATCTTCTGTAAAACAATTATAACTATAACTCTTTTATTAGTTGCTTCAGGGATCAAATAATAAAGTGTAAATAAAATTATCAACTACTAAAACAACCTACTCTTGTTACAATTTAAAAAAACAAAAGATCACTCAGAGCATTAAAAAGCTAGAGTTGATTGAGAAACATGGGCAGGCAGGAAGAATGAGCATTGTTTGCTTGGCAGAGCAATTACACCCAGCATTGGCTAAGAGAGGACTCTGTTCATCTCGCCTATCTGGAGTGAACCTGTTGCTATAGGCTCCTCTAATCTCATCTGTCTCTCCTATTGTATTTACAAAGCAGTTTTCTGAACTTGATTTGATTTCTCAAGTAGGCTGTCTTATTCAGAAAATACTTTTATCTTTTAAAATTAACTCCATTACAAATCAATCTCCTTAGAGTTTAAGCATCATGAGCCAATTTTCCCAAGATCTGATCACCTGTAATTAAGTTTCATGTTAAGGTTTAAGATCAGCAGAGCTGGGAGGCTTAAAGTAACAGAAACACTGAGACTTTTTCTGATCAGTCTGACATCCTCATTTTCACATTGTCAAGGATCAAATACTGAACCAGATGAATAAAGGACATTTTTTGTGTTCTGTTTTGAGCTTATACTGTTTACTTGTCATTAGTACTTCTCCAGCTCTGTGGACATACTGTATGACATATCTGGGCCAAACATTTGCTTCAACTACTAGATGTTTATTTTATTTATTTATTTTTAAAATTTAATTTAGTTATTTTATTTATTTATTTTTATATTTCAGTTTATTTTATTATTTCTTTCCTTCTATTCTATTCTATTTTTTGAGATGGAGTCTCGCTCTGTCACCCAGGCTGGAGTGCAGAGGAACAGTCTAGGCTCACTGCAACCTCTGCTTCCTGGGTTCAAGCGATTCTCCTGCCTCAGCCTCCTGAGTAGCTGGGATTACAGGCGCACACCACCACGCCCGGCTAATTTTTGTATTTTTAGTAGAGACAGGGTTTTCCCACATTGGCCAGGCTGGTCTTGAACTCCTGACCTCAGGTGATCTGCCAAAATGACCTCGGTCTCCCAAAATGCTGGGATTATGGGCGTGAGCCACCATGCCCAGCCAGACATTCATTTTATTTTAAATGGAATCTATCTCTTATGAGGAAATTTGTCCCTCTTTATTTCTAGTTTTCTTAACAGTGAGGAGAGCAGATAGCAGTAGTAGCATCTAGTTTTCAGTGCAGGACTGAAAAAACAAGACTTGATATCAGAGATCAGGGCTCCTTTTCTAATTTTTGTAATTTTCCTATTGCCATTATAGTCTTCCCTGAATTACTGCAGTAGACTCTTAATTGCTCTCATGGTTTTTATTTCTTCCCCTCTGCACTTTTAAAGGAGCCAAGATGATGTTTAAAAAATACAAATCACTCACCTGCTTAAAACTCTTCCGTAGACTTCTAGCTTACTTAGAATGAAATCCAAACCCCTTACCATAGCCAACAAGGCCCCATAGTCTCCTTTATCACCTCATTTCCTGGGTTCTCCCCCTCGCTCACTGGTTTCCAGCCACTGGGCCTCCTCTCTGACCCTAGAAGAGGCATCCCTCCCCACTTCAGAGCCTTTGCATTGCTGTTCCCTCTGCCTGAGGCACCCCACCCCCAAGATCTGCACATAACTGACCCTTGAGGCTCAGTTCAAACCTCACCTCTTCAGCAAGGCCTTCCTTGGCCCTTCCAAACCAAAGCAGCACTTGTCCCCTTCATGTACCTCTCTATCACAGCATCTGCTTCTTGTTCACAGCACTTACACTATCGGAATTAGCTTATTTCATTTGTTTACTTATTTACTGACTATTTCCCCTACTGGATTGTATGTATATTCCAGAAAAACAGGGACCTTTTCTGTCTTGTTCACCGCTGTGACTCCAGTGACTGGCACAAAGTAGACATTCAATACAATATTTGTTACATGAATGAATGGTTTCTCAACTGTTTCCACTGTTGTTTACCTAGTTTGGTTAGATATTTGACTCTGTGATTTTGTTTTTCCAGCTTTAAAATGGTAATAATAGTATCTTTCATCTAATTTATTTTTAGCATGGAGGAGAAAAACTAGGTTGTCTTTATATTTGGAAATATTACTCTTGAATAATGTGATACTGTGAAACAAACAGCTATATAGGAAGTACAGTAGATATACAGTGAAAATGTTCCTTACTTATGATCAGGTAAGATTCTGGATTTCTTTTCTAAATTCTTTTTTTTCTTTATTTCCTTTGGTTTTTGTAGAAGGTGACTGAGATGTACCAGTTCAAATTCAAATACACGAAAGAAGGAGCCACTATGGATTTTGACAGGTAGAATCTAACTGCTTAATGAACATGAGAAATAAATAGGATTGAGGTAAACATAAGCTTCTTGAGGCCAGAGAAAGGCCTTATACTTCTTTACACATTTCCCCACAAACCCTACAGAAAACCACTATTATAAAAAGGGGCTGCAACAATTGTTTACATTCCTGAAATCCATGGATTAAGCTGGTGGGAATAGAGAAAATGGCATGCAGCACAAAGGTAGAAATTATGTCAATAAGGTTGCCTACACGCTATTGATTGAATAACTCCATAAGGCTCTGTCTAGCCATTAATTCAAAGTTTCTCAACTGCTATGCCTAGATAGCGATCCTTTCCACCTCGATATAGCCAGCCTGTGCCTAGGGTAGATAATACCCTTGGACTATTTGCCCGTATGCACAAATATTCTCATTTGCTTACCCCAGTATGTCATATAAATATCATTTCCTTGTGTCCTTGTATGAAAAGATTAGAAAGCACTGCAGTTTCCTTATGAAGTCGAAAATTCCAAGTTTTAGGTTACTAATGGGTTAAATAGCAAACACAAGGACATTGAAGAGCAACGTTTATTTTTCTCCCAGTAGCTTTTGGATTCAGACCTGCCAGGGGGGATGGAGAGCTAAGTATTGCTGATGAGATGGCACAGTAGTGGAAGGTACAGATGATGGTGAAAAGCTCTGGATAGTAGAGGAATCCAAGTAAGGGGGATGGATGCCCTTGAAAGGAAAGACTGATGAGAGACATGGCCTAATTTTCAATTTTCCCTACTATTAGCTCTGGCTCATCATTTGCCATGAGCTTGAGGACTTTTCTCCAAGATTCACTCCCTTGATTATCCTTCCATTTGTAAAACCTACAGACAGCACTAGAATGTGAAGAGAAAATCAGTTCCAAAAATGAGAATTAAAATATTACCTTTTATTAGCTAACATTTGTATAATACTTTACAGCTTATACAGCAGCACTTTTCATACACGTTTTCTCACATAAAAAGTTACCTTTACTCTCCAAAACTCAAAAATATACACTGATGGCCAGATTAAACTCTTTTGTTCTGAAGGCACATATGCCAAGAGGTAAGCTGTAAAACAAAAATGGCCAAATCTTTCACATGCTAAGGAGAGAAGGTGATGCATATTATTAATTTCCTAGAGAAGAAATATAGGCATTTGTTTAAATGGGAGTCCTGAATATGATTTTACTGATGTGTCCTGGAGGCTCCCATGAGCTACATATCTATAGCCCTTCATTCTGGTTACCTACATTTGAATTGGTTAAATCCTGGTTGGCAGAATTTTAAGTTGTTCAAAATTGGAAAAGGAGCTAATGTATTCACTTAATAAATGTTTGCTTCATGAATTCACACTGTCTCCAAAGATCAGTTAGGGAAAAATCCAACATTTCAATTACTTAGGGTTATTTTTCATATTAAGAGCTAACTATGTGCACAGCCATGTGTAAATATATTATAGTCATGGTCCCTCCTGGAAACTACTCAAATGTGAGACTAATTGTGGAAGGAAACTTTGGAGATAAATGAACAAAGTTTAGAATTGGAAGGTAATTTAGTCCAAATTGTTCATTCATTCATTAATTCAACAAATGTTGATTGAATAGCTGGGCACCAAACTCTGTACTGTGGAGATGAAAGATATAGCCACTCACAGTCTAGAGAAGGACAAATAGTTATCCTGAGGATGAGATGAGGGTATTATCAGAGAAGACTTCTTTGAAGAGTCTGCGCATGAGCTAGGTATTAGAGGATAAATTTAGGACAGTCAGGAAGAAAAGTGGAAAAGCACAGTACAAGCAAAGTGAACAGCATATGCAAATACTTTGAGTGAGAGGAAACTGGGCAATAGCTGCAGATGAGGATGGAGGTGAGGATATGACGGGTTGTGAAAGGAATTGTATACACACTGTCTTTGAATTTGATTGAAAACTGATGGATATAATAGAAGAATTCTAAGTAAGAAGGTGACATGAACAGATTTTCCTATTAGTAATATTATTTCAGCGGTGATATGGAGAATATTTTGTAGTGTGGACAAGAAGGAAAGCAGGAAAAATAGTTAGATAGCCACTGTAGTAATCAATGCAAGAGTGAGGAAGGGATACTTTTGCGAGATAATCAGACGGTAGAAAGTCCCAGAGCTGGTGATTGATTTTATGCTTGAGAGTTGTAGAAATGTCTTTACGCTTATCTCACAAATGAGCTAACTGACCTAGAGTGTGTCTAAATGACTTGACCAAGGTCATTCAGCTAGTTATCAGCAGAGCTGATATTAGATGCCAGGTCACCTAATTCCAAATTCGTTGTTCTTACTGTTGTGGTATATGATTTTTTTCAAATCAAATTTTTAAAAAGATCGTATTTTAAATGCTTTTAGGGAATTTGCTACTTAAGAAATTCTTTGTATATACATTGCAAAAAGTACCATCGCTCCCCTAATTTACATTCTAAAAAAGTCTCAAAATATACTAATGTTTAATTTATATTTACTCACATAGTCAAAAGTTTTGTTCCTTTTGGGATAGATTGCCACTATTGTATATGATCAAAAAGTATGCTTTTTTTTCTGTGTAGTCATAGCAGCAGTACAAGCTTTGAAAGTGGAACAAACAATGAAGATATTAAGAAAGCCAGTGTTCTACTGATCCGTAAATTGTATATACTGATGCAGGACCTTGAGCCACTTCCTAATAATGTTGTACTTACTATGAAACTCCACTACTATAATGCAGGTAGGTAGAGAACTTTAGGCAAATTCCTCCTTAAGTGCTGAGCTAATATTTTCTATAAGTAAAAGGATTTTGCAGGCATCTGAAAGAGAAGTCTGTTGCTACACATGAAAGATTAATCGGATTTGTTGTATTGAAACTCAGTTTTCATGGCTTTTTGCCCTTTTCATTTCGCAGTGACCCCACATGATTACCAACCCCTCGGTTTTAAAGAAGGGGTAAATTCACACTTCCTGCTGTTTGACAAGGAGCCTATCAACGTGCAAGTGGGATTTGTCTCCACTGGCTTTCATAGCATGAAAGTAAAAGTCATGACAGAGGCTACAAAAGTGATTGATTTGGAGAACAATCTGTTTCGGGAGAACAGCACTACTGAGATCGCCCATCAGGGTCTAGACTGTGATGAGGAAGAAGAATGCAATGACCATGTAAGGCAAAGCTTTAGAGATTTTCTATCGTGTCAGTTAAACACAATTGATATTTTTCAGTTTCTACCCAGGGCATGCACGTGGAGTGTGCCAGCTATAAAAACTGAAACAAAACTAGTCTCTGACATCAAGGAGTTTTTAATCTAAAAAAGTTTAATCTTCTAAAAGGAAATATACTTTATCAGATGAAATTGTCCATAACTAGGAGGAAAAAGATTTTCTAATATATTTATTTTATTAAAGATATCATAAATTTAGAAAATTTGAGGTTTTCTTTCCTTTATTTGTAAATGACATAATTTTAGGGTTGAAAAATATTCTAGGTATTTATTCATACTCATTGGAAGTATAAATCAGTTCTTGATACTGAGATAATTGGATGGGAGGAGTTGGGGAAGATAAATTTTATGGATAAACCCGAGTCAGCGTGAAAACAAATAATAGTTAACTTCTGGTTATGTGGAGGAAGACAAGCTTTGGGGCTAACTCACTGGGGAAAGTCAGGGGGTTGGTGGGGTTGGAGCTAGTGGAGCCAAACAGTCAGGTCTCTGATCCCTTTATCCTCCCATTTCCACCAATAGAGACTTGGAGTTAGATTCTTGCTAGGGTCCCATTATGCCCTAGGTAACTCCACACCCTTAACTGGTGGTTGTCTGGATAATAATGTTAACTGTATGACAACATTGTGTTAAAAGGGTTCTGAGTTAGACAAAAAATTTTCAGTAGGAAGGGATGCTATAAGATCTTTTCAGGAGATATTTTAAGATTAGAATGATAACTTGTTTGCTTAAGATAATTTGAGTCTTATTTAAAGATAGGTGACTGTACTAGGTAACTTCTGAAGGTTCCTTCTAGTTCTTTAACTCTGTATTATGTTTAATACATTGAAAAGAGGTTCTAGTTGTTCTAGTTTTAATTCAATTAATGTAAATAATATAACCAAACAAGTAACAGATTGTTTTTAAATTTTTAGTGCTTTCTCGATGTTAGACATAAAAATGACTTTGGATTTTGGTGCAATTTTCCTCTTCCAATTTCACCCAAGGAAGATATAGCTAACATAGAAAGGGGAAAAAAAATGAAGGTTAAGAAAAGAATGTTTCAGCTAGTTTTTTTTGTTGTTGTTCTTGTTGTTTTTGAGACAGGGTCTCGCTCTGTTGCCCAGGCTGAAGTACAGTGGTGCAACCATGACTCACTGGTGCCTCAGCTTGCCAAGGAATCCTCCTACCTCAGCCTCTCGAGTAGCTGGGACTATAGGCACATGCCACCACACCTGGCTAATTTTTTATTTTTTAATTTTTTGTAGAGACAAGGGTCTCACTGTTACCAGGGCTGGTCTTAAACTCCTGGGCTCAAGCAATCCTTTCACTTTGACCTCCCAAAGTGCTGGGATTACAGGTATGAGACACCACACTGGGCCTCAGCTAGGTATTTATTTATTTATTTATTTATTTATTTATTTATTTAGGGAAAGAGTCTTGCTCTGTTGTCCAGGCTTGAGTGCTGGAGTGCAGTAGTTGATCACAGCTCACTGCAGCCTTGACCTTCTGGGCCCAAGTAATCCTTTCAGCTCAGCCTCCAGTGTAGCTGAAACCATAGGTGTGCGCCACCACACCCAGCTTATTTTTTATTTTTTTTAGAGACAGGGTCTCCCTATGTTGTCCAGGCTGATCTTGAACTCCTGGGCTCCAGTGATCCTCCTGCCTTGGCCTCTCAAAGTGCTAGGATTACACCACACCTGGTTAGATTTTTACCTTTTAATTAAGAATTTCTTTCTTTTTTTTTTTTAATCAAATGAAAGCAGGACAACCTAAGAACGCATAGTTCAACTAATAGATTAAATAAGAAATGTGATAATCCTTCTCAAGCATACATTTAGTTGAAACTATATGTATTATATGGACTTTGTGGTAAACTTAGTTGATTGAAGTTTCTCTCTCAGCCAGCCAAACATATGAGAGAATTTAGTAAGTCTAGTAAAGTGGTTACTGTCACTTTCCCACTAAGGATTCCTTTTTGTTTTCCTTCATGGAATACATGGAACACACACACACACACACACACACACACACACACACATACATACATGTGTATACATATGTAGAATCTTTATTTCTTTTAAAAATTTTATTTTGAGATATACATATAATAGACTACATAAAAATATGTACAGTTTAAAGAATAATGAGAACATCCATATGTCCTCCATTTAGGCTAAGATGTAGAACATTGCTACTCCCTTAGAAGCCACCACGTGTCCCTTCCTCATTGCACGCCCTCTGAAGGTAACCACTCTCCTGACCTTCATGATAACCTTTCCTTGCTCTTCTTTATAGTTTTGCCATGGATGAGTACATCTACTCGTTTTAAATTTGTATATCAAAGTAATCATACTCTGAGTATTCTCCTTTAATTTTCTTTTGCTTGAACTTCAAAGTTGAGATTTAGCCATTGTGTTATTGTTCTTTCATTTTCACTGCTGTAGAGTTTTCTACTCTTGATAGACATTCTTTTTAATTGCTATAAACATTCATGTACATACCTCCTGGTACACCTGTCAAAGAGTGTCTCTTGGGAATATATGAAACAGTTCTAGGCTTGTGTATTTTCAACTATATTAGGTAAAGCAAAACTGTTTTCCAAAGTGGTCGTACCAACTTACTCGCTACCCCCAGTGAAGGAGAGTACCCTACATTCTTGCCAACACTTATTGTCAGGGTTTATGTTTCCTGCCAGTCTGCTAGATATGAAATGGTAATGCCTCATGATGTTAATTTGAATTTCTCTGATTATTTGTGTGTTTGTGCATCTTTTCTTTGGCCATCCTATTTTGCTCATATTAAATAGCTGTTCATGTCTTTCATGCATTTGTCTCTCAGGTTATTTATCTTTTCCTCAATGGTTTAAAAAATATGTGCTTAGTAATAATTCTTTTTCACTCATTTATGTTGCAATATTTTTTTCATGTTTGTGGCTCATCTTTTCACTTTCTTTTTCTTTTCTTTTTTTTTTTTTTTTTTTTTTTTTTGAGACAGAGTTTCCTCTTGTTGCCCAGCAGGCCTGAGTGCAATGGCACAATCTCAGCTCACGGTAACCTTCTTTCTCCTGGGTTCAAGTGATTCTCCCGCCTCAGCCTCCTGAGTAGCTGGGATTACAGGCATGTGCCACCACACCCAGCTAATTTTGTATTTTTAGTAGAGACAGGGTTTCTCCATGTTGGTCAGGGTGGTCTTGAACTCCCGACCTCAGGTGATCCGTCCGCCTCAGCCTCCCAAAGTGCTGGGATTACAGGCATGAGCCACTGTGCCTGGCTCATCTTTCACTTTCTTTAAGAGGTCTTTTGAGCAATGTAAGTTTTTAATTTTAATATAGTCTAATCTTTTCCTTTAATATGTGCTTTTGGATATCCTTAAGAAATCCTCTACCTAAGGTCATTAATAATATTCTCATATTTTATTCTAAAAGTTTTAATGCTTTTCTTTTTACATTTAGGTTTATAATCCACTTAAAGTTTATTTTCATTTATGGAGTGAAATAGACCAGACTTTCTTAACACTTTTAAATTCAAGAATAATAAACATACAGTAAAACATATGTATCAGTGATACAGCTCAATAAATATTCACAAACTGAACACTAGAGCTGGGATGAGGGTGATGCAAGCAAGGTGCCTAGGGAGCATATTTTAAGGAAGATCTCAGGTGCCAAGAGTAAGGACCTCCTTACATTTTGCCCCCTGGACATCTTGCTTGCTTTGTCTTTGTCACAACCCTACTGAATAAATATGTGAAATCAGCACTCAGATCAAGAAATAGAATTCTTCCAGACCCTGAGAAACCCCCAGTCTTATTTTACAGTCACTATTCTGCTCACAAGAATATTGCTATCCTGACTTCTATTCGCATAGATTAGTTTCTCCTCTTTATTTTATAGACATGGAATCATAGAGTATGGACTTTTTTTTTTTGAGACGGAGTCTCCCACTGTCTCCCAGGCTGGAGTGCAGTGGTGCGATCTCTGCTTTGCTCACTGCAAGTTCCGCCTCCTGGGTTCACGCCATTCTCCTGTCTCAGCCTCTCAAGTAGCTGGGACTACAGGCGCCCGCCACCACACCGCCTAATTTTTTGTATTTTTGGTAGAGATGGGGTTTCACCGTGTTAGCCAGGATGGTCTTGATCTCCTGACCTCTTGATCAGCCCGCCTCGGCCTGCCAAAGTGCTGGGATTACAGGTGTGAGCCACCACGCAGGGCCGAGTATGGACCATTTTTTCAGTTAACATTATGTTGTGAGATTTACCCATATTTTTACATGTTGTTGTAGACCATCCTGACAATTTATTCATTCTATTGTTAATGACAATTTATTCATTCTAATGTTAATTTGGATAATTTATAATTTTTGTCTATGATGGATAGAAATGCTTTGAATATTCTGGAACATGTTTTTTAGGGAAATAACTACACATTTCTGGTGGGAATAGAATTACTAGGAGTAGAATTGCTGGGTCAAAGGGTATGTGTATATTTAGTTTTAACAGATAGTGCAAAATAGTTTCCAAAGTATTTGTGCCAATTTACAATCCCACCAGCAATGTATGAGAGTTGTGGTTGCTTTACATCCTCACTAACCCTTGGCGTTTTCCATCGTTAAGATTTTAGCCATTCTGGTGGGTGTGCTGTGGTATGTCATTGTTGTTTTAATTTATTTAATTTAATTTATTAAACTAATTTTAACTAATGAAGAGGAGCACCTTTTTATATGTTTATTGGCCATGTTGAATATTTTCTTTTGTGAAGTATCTGTTCAAATTGTTTGCTCCTACCCTGCCTTTTTTTCTCTTGGATTGTCTTTCAATCCTACTGATTTGTAGGAGCTCTGCATATATATTCTGCATATAAGTACTTTGTTGGATACATGTATTGTGAATATCTTCTTCAACCTTACGAGTTGTTTTCTTAATGAGGTGTTTTATAAACAGAAGTTCTTTTTTTTTTTTTTTTTTTTTTTTTTTGAGACGGAGTCTCGCTCTGTCGCCCAGGCTGGAGTGCAGTGGCCCGATCTCAGCTCACTGCAACCTCTGCTTCCCTGATTCAAGCGATTCTCCTGCCTCAGCCTCCTGAGTAGCTGGGATTACAGGCATGTGCCACCACACCCACCTAGTTTTTGTATTTTTAGTAGAGATGGGGTTTCATAATGTTGGTCAGGCTGGTCTCGAACTCCTGACTTCGTGATCCGCCCACCTCGGCCTCCCAAAGTGCTGGGATTACAGGTGTGAACCACCACGCCCAGCCTAATTTTTGTATTTGTTTTAGAGATAGGATTTCTTCATGTTGCCCAGGCTGGTCTCAAATTCCTGAGTTCAAGCCATCTGCTGGCCTTGGCCTCCTCAAGTGCTGGGATTATAGGCGTGAGCCATCACGCCTGGCACATCTTTGTCTTTTTCTATTTCTCTGGTTTGGTTTGTCTTTCTGATTCCAAATTGTACTTCCATAAATGTATAGACATGAATATCCTACAGGTACCTTAGATTCAACATCTTCAAATGGAATTTTAACTTCTGACCAAACATGCACTTCCTCATCCTAGGTTCCTTATCTTGGTATTGCACCATCACTTTTCTAAGCAACCCAACCAGGAATATGTTCAACTGTTATTTTCTCCTCACTTTCTACATTCTTTTGGTACACCATTTCCATGTGTTTTGCCTTTGAAGTATTTCTCAAATCTAGCGCTGTTACCACTGTGCTGATTCAGGATGTCATCATTGCTTTCTTGGTGATAGTTGAGTCTTCTAACTGGGTCTCTTTGATGTCATCATTGCCTCTCCAGTTTGTCTTCCAGGGTGCCAGAGAGTGAGGCACTCAAATATTTCAAATATTTTAAGTTGATTTATTTTGTGTAATTGCAAAGGGCAGAATGAGAACCAGTAGATGAAAATTATGTTGATTTTGGCTCAATAGAAGGAAGAATTTTCTCTTTACAAATTTTAAAGCAATGTTATTATAACATTAAAGTAATTTAAAAACCAATGGAAATCTTCCGCCGTCCCACCATCCTATCAATACTGTTTTTATTTTTATATGTCCCATCCTCTCCAGTATTTTTTCATTGATTTATATATTTGTATATGGTTTTAATCATGGTATATGTGAATTTATTTTACTTTTATACTTAACATTATTGATTTTGTAAATATGTTCCACTTTAATCTTTATATTTTTAATTTTAATGACTTCTTGTTTTATTTAGGCACTCTACCATTTCCCTACTTTGAAACATTTAGGTTAATTCTTGATTTTGCTATTATAAAGTATTATAATAAATACCTTTGCACACATGAAAGCATTTAAAAAATTTTTCTACGAATATAGTATCAGGAGTGAAATTTACAGAGCTTCAACATTTGTATGGCTCTCAAATGAGTAGTACCAAATCATTTTCCAGAAGCTGCCAGCTTCTCCACCTCCTCAGGGTGGATTTTCTAACAATGATAACTACTTAAACCTGGTTGCCTTGTGTGGGGGTGAGCTCCAGTGTCACCAGCTGTGCTCAAGTGCAGATATACACGTGTGTTCAAGATAGAGTATATGATTAGGGTGTTGCAAAAGTAAAATCATGATTTAGAGGGAAGGTTGAACTAGATTGACCTCTAAGATATCTTTCATGCTAAGATTGTCTGGGATATTTTTTGAATCCCTATTAAGAGAATAATGCCCTGGCCGGGCGCGGTGGCTCACGCCTGTAACCCCAGCACTTTGGGAGGCTGAGGCAGGTGGATCACAAGGTCAGGAGATCGAGGCCGTCCGTCCTGGCTAACACAGTGAAACCCTGTCTCTACTAAAAATACAAAAAATTAGCCAGGCGTGGTGGTGGGCACCTGTAGTCCCAGCTACTTGGGAGGCTGAGGCAGGAGAATGGCAAAAACCCGGGAGGTGGAGCTGGCAGTGAGCCGAGATCGTGCCACTACACTCCAGCCTGGGTGGCAGAGTGAGACTCTATCTCAAAAAAAAAAAAAAAAAAAAAAAAAAAAAAAAAAAAAAAGAGAGAGAGAGAATAAATAATGCCCTGCTAAGCACTGTGAGGAAAATAAAGACATATAAGATATAGCCTGTGCCCTTTAGAATTGTGGCTGAAGAGATAACACCTACATAATGTAATAAAAAGGTAATACTAGAGAGTATATGAATGATAGAAATAATATTAACTAACAATTTCGAGCACTCTCAGAGCTTTACATATATTATCACTTTCAATCTTCCTAGCTATTTTATAAGGTAGATACTATTGTTATCTTCATTTTACAAATAGGAAACTGAGCCAGAGAAATTAGCCCAAGACTCCATACATAGTGAATTTGTAACAGGGACAGAATTCAAACCCAGGCAATTGAACTCCAAAGTACTAGGATTACAGAAAAAAGGATAAATTGGTACTGTGTGGGAAAGTTTCATTAAGTTGGTGATTTTTTTTTTTTCTTTGAGATGCACTCTCACTACATTGCCCAGGCTGGTCTTGAACTCCTGGGCTCAAGCAATCCTCCCACTTCAGCCTTCCATGTACCTGAGATTATAGGCATGTGTCACCATGCCTAGCTTGATTTGGTGATTTTGTGGATGAATCATATTTTGATTGGCAGTGATCATGGCAGAGGACATTCCAGGCAAGTTGGAAAGTCCAGTATGGTAGCATCAGAAATTCTGTCTCTGTGACTTAGAATTACAATACTGAATGTTCCACGCCTTTCCTGTATCCTACATGGCTTTGCTGAAATTTCTTTACTCTTGGTAATCTCTAACTCAAAGATTTTTTAAAACTTTAAAAATAATTTGTAATTTAAATTTTATTTAAAATTAAAATAGAAAGTTTATAAATTTTTGATCAAACAGCTTACACTGCTTTTCTACCAATGATCTATAGTAAAGAAGGGATTTAACACAATCATCTTGTTGTGAGACCGTTGAAAATAGAAAGATTTTAATACAATTTTCTTTTTCAGGTAATTCCTTATTTCAGTCACAGAAAGGCAAATATAACAGAGTTTCTACTAATGGTTGAAATTATTCAGTAATTGTGCTATTCACTTTCTGGTGTGATTCTTAAGATCCAAGGAATAATGTGAAAGTGAGATTATAATTTGGCAATGGATTCAGAATTGTAAAAGCACATATGCTTGAAACTTAGGAATTCTTAAATTATAAGAACTCTAAAAACCTAACTCCACTTGAAAAATAGAACGTTGGAATTGTCCAAGGAATCCCGGGACAATACAGGGTTCAGTAAGCCTGTCTGAAAAACGCTGTCCTAATTGTGTCCTTATCATTTAATCTGCCCCCCACACACTTTCAGGACAGGTCTTCATTCTTTTCTTTTCTTTTTTTTTTTTTTTTTTTTTTGAGACAGGGTCTCACTCTGTCACCCAGGCTGGAGGGCAGTGACGCGATCTCGGCTCACTGCAATCTCTGCCTCCTGGGATCAAGCCATTCTTCTACCTCAGCCACCCGAGTAACTGGGACTACAGGGGCGTGTCACCATGTCTGGCTAATTTTTATATGTTTTATAGAGACAGGGTTTCGCCATGTTGCCCAGGCTGGTCTCCAACTCCTGAGCTCAAGCAACCCACCCGCCTCTGCCTCCGCCTCCCAAAGTGCTGGGATTACAGGCAAGAGCCACCATGCCTGGCCAGGTCTTCCTTCCTAATAGGGGTGTTTTAGGCCTAAGCTATAGCTACTAAGTCTACACAAACACAAAAGCACTTCACATAACCCTGGGAAGTTGTTTTTTTTTCCCTGTCATAGACAACTGGGCAGATAGCAGTAGACATACACACTGAAGACAACTTCCCCTAAAGATCCTTAGACAGGTTTCTTCAAAGAACTGACCTATATGGTGCTAATCAACATATGTTCTGTAATTTGTTGTAGAATCTTACTTAAATTTATGCTGTTTAAATGCTAAGGAAAAAGTACTTCTTTCTAGTAGAAATAATTAACCCAATCTCCTTAAAAAATTCTAGTAATTACTTACACAGACAGTGATAAAAAGATGGAGGGCTAATGTTGGCCCAGGTCTATTTTGGAGATTAATTGTTCCAGTTTATTAAGTCATTATAGTTCTTTGAGAATTAATATTTTAACCATATTTTTAGGCAGGGGTCTACTATAATTTTCTAATTTTCTGAAATACTTATGTGTCTTTATACCTCCAAATACAGTTGCTAGACACTCTCTACAAGGCTTTTTTCTAGGCCTTTCTTTTGTAACTAGAAATCTTGATCCAGAATGGCATTTTTTTCATCTGTAACATATCAATTTCACTGAAGCATAAATAATTCATACAAATGATTTTTTTTGAGGATGAGCTAAAGGCAGAGAATACTGTTTTCTTATAAGAGCCACAAGTATTTTTAAAGTTTATTCAATAGTTTATCATTTGATTTAGTTACAAAGAATGGTTTGCTTTTTAAGCATATCCCAAACATACACACTCTATTACACTATTTTCTAAGTGTAATAAAAATGGTTTGCATTTTGCCTGGATTTCTGCATCTTATTTCAATTTAAAAATAATGTTTTAAGATAGCTTTTTTCTTTTTTATGAATTCCACAAAAGAATCCACAAATTATAACAATATGTAGTTTACCTGATGTATTCTTTCCCTCCATGAAGCTCATTTCTTTTGTGCCAACACACTTAATTAAAAAGTAAATGATTTATTTGTAAGAAATTAGAATGTAAAGTACATTGTTTCCACGGTAAATAGCAGCATTTACGTGTGGACTAGAAAGGTATTTTTCTGAATTCCTTAGAATTGCTTTGTATTTCAGATAGTAGATTAAAACAAGAGCCTTTTCATTCAAAACCTATTGTCTCCCACTAAACTCTGAACTGAAGTTTTGCATTTTTTGAGGTATAGTCTGATGATTTTCATAGCATCACATCTCCTGAAGCATATATGCCTTCTTTGATACAACATAGTGTTGGCAAGAATATCTCAGATTCTTGGAAGTGGGGTAGATTATTGAAAGCACTGGAAGAGGCACATTATTTGCAGAAAATATCCAGCCTTAAAAAAACACACACATCAGGCCAGGTGCAGTGGCTGATGCCTATAATCCCAGCACTTTGGGAGGCCAAGGCGGGAGGATCACCTGAGATCAGGAGTACAAGACCAGCCTGGCCAACATGGTGAAACCCTGTCTCTACTAAAAATACAAGAATTAGCCAGCACGAGAATCGTTTGAACCTGGGAGGCAGAGGTTGCAGTGAGCTGAGATCACTCAGGCTACTGCACTCCAGCCTGGGAGACAGAGGGAGACTCCGTCTCAAAAAAAAAAAAACAAAACCAAAAAACCACACACACACACATCATTCTTTCTTCATCATGAGACTCTAGTCCTTTTCATTAAGTTTCCTTTTGTCAAACAGAAAATTATTTCCAATTAATTTTTCTGTTTTGCAATCCAGAATGTAATTGCTATCCTCTGTTAACTGTGCAAAGAGGAATGAAAGTTGGTTGACTTTCCCATCAGTCTTATAAGTCATTTCTTTTTTTATATGAATCATTCTATAACATCAGAGAATTACTTCTTTCCTTTTGTGAGTAGGAAGAGCCACACTGATTATCTGTATATGTTTCACTCACATTAAAGAAGTATACTGATATGTATTATAGCAGAAAAAAAAGTCAAACACAGTGAGTAATCTTAGGTAGAAATGCTTTGGATGTTACAATTAATAAGCCCTAGCATTAAAATAAATAAATTTTGTTTAAAAAAGAGTAAGACAGAATATTCTGTTTGGTTAAAAAAGAGATGCCTCTAATAATACAATGTTATCATTACACCAAAATCAATGAAATATTAGGTTTCATTTAAACTCAGATTTTTTTCAAAGTGACTTCATTGAGATTTTATTCAATTGCACATTGGAAAAAAGTATAATGATAATGTTACCCAATTTCCTATAACTATATTCAGTTGGCTGATTTTCCTAATACCATTATGTGTGTTAAAGTTTTCTATTTGATGCTAAATTGTCTGTTGGTACACACATGAGATTATGCTTGTAACAAATCTAAGCATCATAAGAGGAGTAATAATTCTTTTAGCATTTATATTAGGATCTCAAAATTGAGAACTAAGACTTCAGAAGACCAGTCCTTCTGACAATGGTAAAGAAAAGTTAGAAACACAATTGGCCTCATTTTCTTCTGGATTTGGCAGACCTGTTAGTGTTAATTGTATATATATACATATATATATAATATATTTATTTATGATTATACTTTAAGTTCTGGGATACATGTGCAGAACATGCAGGCTTGTTACATAGGTATACACATGCCATGGTGGTTTGCAATTGGCCCTTTGTATCTGTGGGTTCTGCATTAGTGGATTCAGCCAACTGTGGGTTTAAACTGTTAAAAACAAAAAACAAAAAAAAGGATGATTGGGTCCGTACTGAACATGTACAGACTTTTTTTCTTGTCCCCCATGGTTCCCTAAACAATACAGTATAACTACATAGCATTTATGTCGTATTGGGTATTATAAATAATCTAGAGATAATTTAATATACATGGGAATATGTACATAGGATGTGCATATTATATGCCAATACTGTGCCATTTTTTATAAGGGATTTGAGCATCCATAGATTTCCTATCTGTAGGTGTGGAGTGTGTGTGCCCTGAAACCAATTCCTCATGGATACAGAGGGATGACTGTATACTTTATGAGCCACTACCTAGGTGTGCTTTTTTTCTGCCCAATGGAGGGCTCTTTCTGCTTTGATGACCAAAGTTGGAACAAACAAACTTTATCACTAAAGGTATCATTTTGACATTTAAACAAGGCTACATGAAGCTCATTGTGAAGAAAGTTTAAAAGAATGTTCTACTGGGGCCAGGTGTGGTGGCTAATGCCTGTAATCCCAGCACTCTGCGAGGCCAAGGCGGGTGATCACCTGAGGTCAGGAGTTCGAGACAAGCCTGGCCAACATGGTGAAACCCTGTCTGTACCAAAAATACAAAAAATTAGCCAGGCATTGTGGCGGATGCTTGTAATCCCAACTACTCGGTAGGCTGAGGCAGGAAAATCACTTGAACCCGGGAGGCGAAGGTTGCAGTGAGCCGAGATCACACCATTGCACTCCAGCATATAATATATATGATTATATATATATAATCATAAATATATATATTTATGATTATACTTAAAGTATAATCATAAATAAATATATTATATATATGTATATATATACAATTAACACTAACAGGTCTGCCAAATCCAGGAGAAAATGAGGCCAATTGTGTTTCTAACTTTTCTTTACCATTGTCAGAAGGACTGGTCTTCTGAAGTCTTAGCTCTCAATTTTGAGATCCTAATATAAATGCTAAAAGAATTACTCCTCTTATGATGCTTAGATTTGTTACAAGCATAATCTCGTGTGTGTACCAACAGAGCCTTGCTCTGTCACCAAAAAAAGAAAAAAAAAGTTCTACTATATTCTAATCAACAATAGGTTATCAGCATTTATTCAGTCAATAAATTTATATTGAGGCCTACTATGCTTGAGTCATCATAGGAGGGTAGTGTACACAAAGAAGAATGGGCCAAATCCCTGATTCAAAATTGATTAGAGGAAGAGAAACAAACAAATAGCTATTTATTATATAATAATAATAGCCACCATTTATTAAGTGCCCACAAAAGGCTGTGTATATTTGTGAACCCAATTAATCCCAACAACAACTTTGCGTGATATTTTATAGCTGAAGAAACAGAAGTTCAAAGACATTAAGTAGCATGTCCAAGGTTGCCCAACTAGAGAGCATCAAAATCAATATTTCAATCTAGGTCTGTCTGGCTCCAAAACTCATACTCAACCTGTTAAATCATATATTCACCTATGTAGGGGAGAGCGTGTAAAATTTCAGAAGAGAGGTAAAAACCCTATATTAGAATGACCAAATTCCACTTTCACTCATGAAAGAGTAATGTAAGAGTTACCCTCTTGCTGTAAACAACTAGAAAACTGGGCAAAATATATGAAGCAACTGTTTTTGGACATTAGATAACAGGCACACAGGAATGGGATCCTTGACAGAAGAAAAGTGAGACCAGTCTTAAAATTGCCCTAGCTTCCTGCTAGGAGGCACCTTCCAGACCACTGGTTCAGGGAGAGAGAACCCAAGCAGAGCATGGCAGTCTTGCTGAGTCGAAGAAAGAGACTGGAGTATGGGGAATCTGAGGCAGTTGGAAACAGAATATCAGAGGGCAGGGAACTATACAGAGAAGGAGATCCAGAAATCAGCATAGGGGTTCCTTGAGTCTTTTAATATTCAGCTTTTCAGGTGTGGGTCAAAACTCCACAAGCCTGGACAAAGAAAACTGGCAACTTAACAATTCCCAGAGCTCTCACAGGGATGGGAGATGTTCACATAATTACCAGTCAAATGGAGAGCCCTTCTCGAACACTCAGAACATTCAATAGAGACTCCAGAAGGGTTACATGTTAGCAGTAGAGCTAAACCAAACTTTTAGTAAAACCCTCCAGATTTAATCTAATAAAGTTTTAAAATATGCCTCAAAAGGATCAAGCTTATCTGCCTGCCAAAACAATTTTTAAGAAAGATAACAAAATTCAAACATTCAACAATGTAACATTCTTATTGTTCAGAATCTAATAAAAGTTTCTTGATATGTAAAGCAGCAGGAAAACTGATCCATAACCTGAGGGACACCAGTCAGTAGAGGCAAGCCCAGAAATTTCAGCAATGATAAAATTAGTAGATAAGGACTTTAAAACAGCTGTTATACCAAGTACAATGATAGCCTATGTTTACACACAAAAATGTATGCAAATGTTTACAGCAACTCTATTCATAATCTTCAAAGTATGGAAACAATTAGGTGTTTCTTAATTAGGGAATGGATAAACTTAAGACAAAAAGGAACAAACTACTGAAACATGCAACAACATGGGTGAGTTGCAAATGCATGATAAGTTAAAGAAGCCAGAATCAAAAGACTACATACTATTTGATTCTATTTGTACAACATTTTTTCTGTTTTTAATAGCTTGAAATGTAATTTATTTACCATGCAATTCACTCATTTAAAATGTACAACTTAATGGTTTTTAGTTATAGTCACAGAGATTTGCAACCATCACTACAGTCAAAATTTTAGAAGATTTTCATCACCTGAAAAAAACCCGTATTCTTTAGCTTTCACCTTCCTGTCTTATTTCTCCTCTCCCCCAGTCCTAAATAATCATTAATCTATTTTCTGTCTCCAGATTCGCCTATTATGATATATTTCAAATAAATGAAGTCATATACTATGATGAATTTTGTGACTGACCTCTTTCACTTAACATTGTGTTTTCTTTTCTTCTTCTTTTTTTTTTTCCACAAATAGGGCTTTTAATTTGACACTATTAAAAGTCTGAATGTTAAACAGATTCGTGGACCGATGGTTCATATCCATCAGCTCATTCAATTTTAGCACCTTTCTCATCCTTGGTAGCTTTTTCAAAACTACTACCTTCACCATGAAGCTACATGAGTTTTCCCAATTCAAACTTGGGCTTCTTTATTTTTACTTTCCTAATGAAGACACCATGGAGAGGATAAACAGATAGGCAAGCCTTTTCTATGTCTTTTCCAGTGCTGTCTGGAATCAATTTATTGACCACTTCTTTCAAGTCATTTGTCTGCACCTCTTGGGTCATGATTTCCATCATCTTCTTCTGGATTTGGCAGACCTGTTAGTGTCAATTGTAAGAAGTCTTCCATGTGTAATTGTTGCATTTTTTAGTAAAATCAACACAAAACAGACAAAGTAAATAATCATTGATAGTCTTGACATCAATGTGAACTTAAATCATGGTCTGCTATTTTTTAGCCATGGAACACATTTTGTCACAGATAAGATCCATGCCATGGAAATTAATCAGGCATTTTTGCCCTGAACATCTTCAGTATCAGCTTGAATTTTCTAAATGCAACTTCATCATTCTGCACATCAGACAAACTCACTTCAAACACATGACCCTTGAGGCCATCAGATGCAATTTTGATTCCTTGAGTCCTGGCGATGAGTGTCTTTCCCATAGTTATTATACTGAACATAGCAGGTGCTTTCACATCATACCAATCTTTCTTAGAAAATGGGTCAAGGTATTTGAGCCCAGGAGGTCAAGGCTGCAGTGAGCTGTTGATCACACCACTGCACTGCAACCAGGGCTACAGAGCAAGACCCTGTTTCAAAAAAGGAAGGAAGGAAGGGAGGGAGGGAGGGAGGGGGAATGGAAAGAAGGAAAGGAAGAGACAGAGAGAAATAAAAAATGAAAGAAAGAAAAGAAGGAGGGAGAGAAAGAAAGAAATAAAATGGATCAACCACTTTCTTCTTGGCTTGCTTTTGCCACCTTTCATAAAGTGCTTGTTCTTGCCAACTACCATGTGCTTTTCAGCCAAAAGGGCAGCATCATGTTTTCAAAGTTCATCCATGTATGGCATGTGTCATTACTTCATCCCTTTTTATGGCTGAATAATACTCCATTGTACGGATACACCACATTTTGTCTATCCATGTATTAGTGATGGGCATTTGGGTTCTTTCAACCTTTTGGCTATTGTGAATAATGCTGCTATAAACATTTGTATATAAGTTCTTTTTGAGTATCTATTTTTAATTTTCTTGGATATATACCTAGGAATAGAATTGCTGGGTCATATGTGTTTAATCATTTGGAGAACTCCAAAATTCTTCCAAAGTGGCTGTACCATTTTACATTCCCAACATCAGTGTATGAGGGTTCCAATTTCTCCACATCCTTACCAGCACTTGGTATTGTCTCACTTTTTGATTCTAGCCATCCTAGTGGGTGCAAAGTAAGTGGTACCTCATTGTGGTTTTAATTTGTATTTCTCTAATGACTAATGATGTCAAGCATCTTTTCATGTGCTTCTTATCCATTTATATATATTCCTTGGAGACATGTATATTCGGATCTTTTGCCCATTTTTTTTTTTTTTGAGACAGAGTCTTGCTCTGTTGCCTAGGCAACAGAGAAGCTGGGACCATAGGTGTGCACCGCCATGCCTGGGTAATTTTTAAAATATTTTTGTGGAGATGGGGTCTCGCCATGTTTCCTGGGCTGGTCTCGAACTCCTGGAGTCAAGCATTCCTCTCACCTTGGCCCCCTAAAATGCAAGAATTACAGGTATGAGCCTCTGCATCCAGCTTCCTTTGCCCATTTTAAAAACGGTCATTTGTCCTTTTATTACTGAGGTGTAAGAGTTCTTTATATATTCTGGGTAGATTCCTTACCAGATATACAATTTATAAATATTGTCTTCCATTCCATTTTCATTTATTTGGATTTTCTTTAATTTCTTTCAGCCATGTTTTGTGGTTTTTAGATTATAAATTTTGTATTTATTTTGTTAAATTTATTCATGAGCATTCTTTTCATACTGTTCATAATAGTATGTGAATAGTATGTGAACTGCACAATAGCATGAAAAGAATAAAATACTTGGGAATAAATTTTCATCTTTGTATTATTCATTGCAGGTATATAGAAATACTTTTGAATTTTGTATACTGATTTTGTATTCTACAACCTTGGTAGGATAGTTAATTTTATGTGTCAACTTGGAGGGTGCTACTGGATGAAATTAACATTTAAATCAGTAAACTTTAAGTTAAGCAGGTTGCTTTGAGTAAAGTAAAACTAACACTCCATGATGTGTGTGGATCTCATTGAATTTGTTGAAGGCCTGAATAGAACAAAAAGACTGGCCTCCCTGAGCGGGAGGGAATGCTCCAGCAGATTGCCTTAGACTTCATCTGCACCATTGACTCTCCTGGGTCTCTAGCCTGTTGGCCTTCAGACTGGAACCGCATCATCAACTTTCCTGGGTCTCATGCCTGCTGGTTCACACTGTAGATATTGGACTTGCCAGCCTCCATAATTGGATAAGCCAATTCTTTATAATAAATGTGTTTATATATATATATGAACTGTACTATATATATATATATATATATATATATATATATCCTCTGTCTCTCTCTCTCTACATACATATATATATATAAATAACCTGTCTCTCTCTCTACATATATATATACTTATATATATATTTTTTCATCCTACTAGTTCTGTTTCTCTAGAGAACCCTGACTGATACGCTTGCTGAACTCGTTGAATAGTTCTAATAGTTTTTTTTAGAAGATTCCTGATTACTTTCTATATCCTAATTTTTTTAGAGGATTCCTGAGGATTTTCTATATACAAAAGCATGCCATCTGCAAATAGATATAGTTTCACTTCTTCCTTTCTAATCTGGATGCCTTTTATTTCCTTTTCTTATCTAATTGCCCTGGCTAGAACCTCCATTACAATGTTGAATAGAAGTGAAGAGACGTCCTTGTCTTGTTCCTAATCTTAGAGAAGCATCTAATTTTTCATCATTAGGTATGGGTTTTTGTTTTAGGTGCCCTTTGTTATGTTGAAGAAGTTCCCTTCTTAGTCTGCTGAGTGTTTTTTTAATCATGGAAGGGTGTTGGATTTTGTCAAATGCTTTTCCTGCATCTCTTGAAATGATCATGTGATTTTTGCTTTTTATTCTTTTGATATAATGTATTACATTAGCTGATTTTCAGATATTAACCCAAGCTTGCATTCCTGAGATAGATCCCCCTTTATCATTGTGTGTACGTGTATCTGTGTGTGTGTGTGTGTGTATTTATATTGCTAGATGTTTTCCTAGTATTTTGTTGAGGATTTTTGTGTCTAATGCATGAGAGATATTGATCTGTAGTTTTCTTGTGTTGCCTTTGGTTTTGGTGTCAGGGTAACACTGGCTTCATAAAAATGAGTTGAATTAGCCCTGCATGGTGGTACACACCTGTAATCCCAGCTACTTGGGGGGCTGAGGCACAAGAATTGCTTGAACCTGGGAAGCAGAGGTTGCCGTGAGCTGAGATAGCGCCAGTGCACTCCAGCCTGGGCAACAAAGTGAGCCTCTGTCAAAAAAATAAAAAAGAAAAAGTGTGCATGAGAGAGAGAAATGAATTGAAAAGTTTTTACTTATCTTCTACTTTTTGGAAGAGTTTGTGAAGAGTTAGTATTAATTCTTCTTTAAATGTTTGGTAGAGTTTAGTGGTGAAGCTATCTGTGACTGGGCTTTTCTTTTTGTGGATAGTTTTAAAAATTGTTAATTCAAGGTCTTCACTTGTTATAGATATATTCATATTTTCAATTTCTTCTTGAGTCAGTTTTGGTATTTTGTGTAATTTAGGCAATTTCCATTTCATCTAAGTTATCTAATTTATTGACATATTATTGTTCATAGTATTCTGTTATAATGCTTTTTATTTTTGTAAGGTCAGCAGTAATATCTGGTCTTTTATTTCCAATTCTGGTAATTTTAGTCTTTTATTTACTTGGTCAAGCTGGCTAAAGGTTTGTCAATTTTGTTGATCTTTCAAAGAATCAGGCTTTGGATTCACTGATTGTCACTATTTTTTAATTCTCCATATCATAAATGTCTACACTAATCTGTATTATTTCCTTCCTGTGCTTGCTTTAGGTTTAGTTTGCACTTTTTCCAGTGTCTTAAGGTGGAAAGTTAGGTTATTTGAGATCTCCTTTCTTAATATAGGCATTTACAGTTGTAAATTTTCCTCTAAGCAATGCTTTAGCAGTGTTATGTTTTGTTATGTTGTATCTTCATTTTCATTTATCTTGAAGTATTTTCTGATTTCCCCTTTATTTTTTTGACACAGTATCTCTCTCTCTCTGTCACCCAGGCTGGAGTGCAGTGGAATGACCTCGGCTCACTGCAACCTCTGCCTCCTGGGTTCAAGCAATTCTCCTGCCTTAGCCTCCTGAGTAGCTGGGATTACAGGCATGCACCACCATGTCCAGCTAATTTTTGTATTTTTAGTAAAGACGGGGTTTCACCATGTTGGCCAGGCTTGTCTCAAACTCCTGACTTCAAGTGATCCACCCACCTCGGCCTCCCAAAGTGCTGGGATTACAGGCATGAGCCACCTCTGATTTCCCTTTTGATTTATTCTTTGATCCATTGGTTATTAGGAGTATGTTGTTTAATTTCCACATACTTTTTTATTTAATTTTTTTATTTCCATAGGTTATCAGGGAACAGGTGGTGTTTGGTTACATGAGTAAGTTCTTTAGTTGTGATTTGTGAGATTTTGGTGCACCCATCACCTGAGCAGTATACACTGTACTCAATTTGTAGTCTTTTATCCCTCAAGCCCTTCCACATACATTTGAGTTTTCCAAATCTTATTCTGTTATTAGCTTCTTATTTCATTCCAGTGAGGTCAGAGAACATACTTTTTTTTTTTTTTTTTGAGACGGAGTCTTGCTCTGTCACCCAGGCTGGAGTGCAGTGGCACAATCTCGGCTTACTGCAACCTCCGCCTCCTGAGTTCAAGTGATTCTCCTGCCTCAGCCTCCCAAGTAGCTGGGATTACAGGCATGTGCCACCACCCCCGGCTAATTTTTTTGTATTTTTAATAGAGATGGGGTTTAACCATATTGGCCAAGCTGGTCTTGAACTCCTGATCCTGTGATCTGCCCGCCTTGGACTCCCAAAGTGCTGAGATTACAAGTGTGAGCCACTGCGCCCAGCCGAACATACTTTTTATTATTTCTATCCTTTTACATTTGTTGAGGTTTGTTTTGTGCCTTAACATACGGTTTACGGGCTGGGTGCGATAGCTCTTACCTGTAATCCTAGCACTTTGAGAGGCTGAGGCAAGAGAATGGCTTGAGGTGAGGAGTTTGAGACTAGCCTGAGCAACATAGTGAGACCCAGTCTCTACAAAAAAACAACAAAAAACCAACCAACCAACCAACAAACAAAAACCACCCAGGCGTGGTGGCATGCGCCTGTGGTCCTACCTACTTGAAAGGCTGAGCTGGGAGAATTGCTTGAGCCTGGGAGGTAAAGGTTGTAGTGAGCTGTGATCACTCCACTGCACTCCAGCCTGAGCAGCAGAGTGAGACCCTGTCTCCTTGACTCAAAAAAAAGTAAATATATGGTTTATGCTGGAGAATATTCCATGTGCACTTGAGAAGACTGTATATTCTGCTGTTACTGGGTATAGTGTTCTATATATATATATCTGTTAGGTCTAGTTAGTTTAGACTGTTGTTCAGATATTCTGCCTAATTGTCCTATTCATTACTGAAGTTCAGGTATTGAAGTCTGACGCTATTATTGTTGAATTGTCTGTTTCTTTCTTGATCAGTTTTTCTTCATATTTTTTGTGTTCTAACATTAGGTGCATATATTTATATTTATTTTATTTTATTGACAGGTTGATCCTTTTATTATCCCCAAATGCCCCTTATTATCTCCAGTTACAACCTCTGCCTTTTGATGGGTTTGCTTAATCCATTCATGTTTAATGTTACTATTGATATATTTGGTTTATGACAGTCATTTTACTTTTTATTTCTATGTGTTTTATATGTGTTTATTGTACCTCTATTCCTCCTTGACTTGTTTTCCTTGCACTGAGTGAATGAAGCATTTTAATTTCTTTAATTTTTTTCACTATTTTTTTGAATTTCTTTAGTAGTTGCACTAGGGCTTATCATGCACATCCTAACTTATCAGAATCAGTTTCAGGTTTATGCTAGCTTAATTCCAGTGAGACATGGCAATGTTATCCTTATGTAGTCTCTTTTGTCCCTTTTTGGTATTTTTTTTATGTATTACATCTATTAATGGTACAAGATCAACAATTATTGTTTAATTGGTACTTTATCATCTGTAGCTATTTCCTTGCCCAAACAGCTTTTCTCCTACTCAGCTTCTTTGTGCTATTATTGGCAAATATACTACATTTGTTGAAGTTTTAGGTCAAACAATATACCATATGCATATTATTTTACACAACTTACTATATAAAATTTAGTTTATTTAAGAGAAGAAAGGAGAAAAATGTGCATTTACATTGCCTTTTATAATTGCATTATAAGAGCATCTTTACTGATGCTCTTTGTTTTCTCAAGTCGGTTTGAATTATTGTGTGTGATAATTTTCAGCCTGAATAATTTTCTTTAGTATTTCCTGTAAGATGAATCTGCTAGCAAAATTCTCTCAGTTTTTGTTTATCTGGAAGTGTTTTTATCTTACCTTTGTTTTTTAAAGATATCTTTGCTGAATAAAGAATTCTTGGCTGACAGTTTTTTTTTCCTTTGAGCACTTTGAATATGTTGTCTTACTACCTCACTGGCCCCCATTGTTCCTGCTGAGAGATCAGCTGTTTTCGTTATAGGGGTTCCTTTGTTAGCAATGAGTCATTTTTCTCTTGTTGTTTTTAAGATTTTCTCCATGTCTTTGGTTTTCAGCATTTTTACTATGATATGTCTATTTGTGGATCTTTTTCTTACTCAGAAGTGCAGCCTTAGGTATGCCCCACAGTCACCCTGGGATAATGATGGTTGATATGCCTTGGATATTTGTCCTGCCCAATCCTCATGTTGAAATGTAACTGGAGGTGGGGCCTGATGGGAGGTGTTTGGGTCATGGGTGCAGATCCCTCATGGCTTTGTGCTGCCCTTGTAATGGTGAGTTCTTGCAAGATCTGGTTGTTTAAAAGTGTGTGGCACTTCTGTGCTCTCTGTTGCTCCCACTCTTGCCATGTGAGACACCTGCTCCCCCTTTGCCTTCTGCCATGATTGTAAACTTCCTGAGGCCCTCACCAGAAGCTGATGCCAGTGCTATGCTTTCTGTACAGCCTACAGAACCATGAGCCAATTAAACCTCTTTTCTTATAAATTACCAAGCCTCAGATATTTCTTTGTACCAACACAAGAACAGCCTAATACAGCGGTTTCATCTGGGCTTTCTTTGGCCAATTCTTTCCCTGCCCAGTTATTAAACACAACTAATTGCTGGTGATTGCTCCATTATTTTCATCAGTGTCCCAGGCATATATTACTCTACAGTTTAATCAAATCAAATTTGGACTTCTTTAAAGGGATAGTTACTGAGGTTCCAGTGTTTGAAATTTGTTCTGACCACAGGAGGACTTCTCTCAGTTATCTATTTCCTGATTCTCTCCTGAAAACTGGCCAGCCTACAGTTTAGCAAATACCTGTAATGAATCTACCAATCTCCTTCCAATTGCCTTTTGATACAACCTCCATTGTATTTGAGCATGTCCTTATCCTTGAACTTCTTCATGCTCTGTTGCAATAAAGTCACTGTCTTTGGAAAGAGATTAGGAGCTATTTTATGCACTGCTTCTCCCCTTGGAAAAATATCTGAGCCACAGCTCTGGAGCTAGGTACGGGGACAACGGTGTGCTTATCTCTCAGTGACATGCAGCTTTAGGAGCTGATGGCCGAGTGGAGGGGGGACAGTAGACTCAGATCTTCTCAGCTTGCCTCTCCCAGCATAGAACCACGACCTTACAAGCCAGGGCAAGGGTGATTGAGACCTCAGCATTCTCGGTGGTACAGTACCCTAGGCAGAACTTCCATTTCACCAGTGAGGCTGGAAGTATAGTGGTACTGTATCCTACACAAAACTTCCATCTCACCATGAGCCCCCACCTCATGGCCATACTCAACATAGAATTTAGCAATAGCTGGAGGCAAGAAGAAAAATACTAACGTTCTTTTCCTCCCATGAAGATAGCCCTCAGATTGGGAGCTTGGGAGAGAGGGAGGCTTGTGTTCTTGGCTATCCCAATCTATAATGGAATGGAGTGGAATGTAACTGAGCTGGGAGGGTGGAGGAAATGGTCTTGGTTCAAATACCACCAACTTTTGTTGTTCTTGGCAAATTTTAGAAGATATTCTTGAACGGAGGCTTCTTCAATTACTGTATGCCTTTAGGTATAACAGAGACTTCAATTTTTAAAAATAGTTTTTAGCAGTTTTGCTGGAGAGCTGGTCTGTGGAGCTCCTCACACTGACATGTGGGAAATTGATCTCTTACACAATATTCTGGCAAAGGCAAAACTATAGGCACAGAAAAAAATCAGTAGTTGCCAGGGCTGAGTGTGAGGTTTAACTACAAAGGGACATGGAGGAATTTTGGGGCTGATGAAACTGGTTGTGTATACATTTGTCAAAATTCACAGAACTGTACATTATAAAGAACAATTTTACTGCATGTAAATTGTACCTCAATAAAATAAAAGGGGAAAAGCTATTATAAATATGCTCAAATATTTAAAGGAAAACATCAATATAATGAAGAGAAAAATGGAAGGAGTTTTTGAAAAGGTCCAAATAGACCCTAGAGCTGAAAAATACCATATCTGAAATTTTAAAATATCACTGGATGGGTTTAACAGCAGATTAGAAGCTATAAAAAAATAGGTCAGTGAACTTGAAGTAGAATATAGAAGTCACTCAAATTGAAACATAATGAAAAAACAAAATGAAAAGAATAGGGCCTCAGTGACTTATGTGACAACATCAAACAGTCTAAGCTGTGTGTAATTGAAATTCCAGAAATTTGGTGGGATTTTAAATGATAATGTCTGTAAATGTTACAAACTGATGAATTATATCAAATAATCAAGGAAGAAATAATACTAATTTTGAACAAATTCTTTAAGAATATAGAGGAGAAGGCTTCACAACTCATTTTATGAGGCCAGAATTACCCTGATACTAAAACTGAAGACACTCCAAGAAAACAAAACTATGGACCACAATATCTCTCATGACTATGGCTGCAAATGTCCTTAACAAAATAGTAGAAAATTGAATCCAGCAATATATGGAAAGGATAATGTGTCATGACTAATGTGGTCTATCCCAGGAATGCATGGTTGGTTTAAAAAGTGAAAATTAGTCCATGTAATTCCCCATGTTACAGAATGAAGGAGAAGAACCACATGATCATCTCTATAGATGCAGAAAAAAAGTATTCAATAAAATTCAACATCCATTTGTGACTTGAAAATATGAAAGCTTTGGCCAGGCGCAGTGGCTCATGCCTGTAATCCTAACACTTGGGGAGGCTGAGGCCAGTGGATCACGAGGTCAGGAGATTGAGACCATCCTGTCCAACATGGTGAAACCCCATCTCTGCTAAAATAGAAAAAAAAAATTAGCCATGCCTGGGGGCGCGTGCCTATAGTCCCAGCTGCTTGGGAGGCTGAGGCCGGGGAATCACTTGAACCCAGGAGGCAGAGGTTGCAGTGAGCCGAGATCATGCCACTGCACTCCAGCCTGGCGACAGAGCAAGACTCTGTCTCAAAAAAAGAAAAGAAAAGAAAAAATGAAAACTTCAGGAAAACAAGGAGTATAAAGGAACTTCCTTGACTGTATAAAAGACATTTACAAAGAACCTAAAGGTGACATTATACTTAATGGTGAAAGATTAAACACTTTGCACCTAAGACAGGGAATAAGACTCTTACCACTTATAGTCAACATCATACTAGAGGTCCCACCAGCTAATTAAGGTAGGAATAAGAAATAAAGGTATATAGATTGGAAAGGAAGAAGTAAAACTTAAACTTTTTTGAGAATGACATGACTGTATAATAGAAAATCCTAAGAAATCTACAAGAAAGACACCACCAGAACTAATATATAATACATGAATTTATCAAGGTCACAGATTAATACATAGAAATTTATTGTATTTCTCTATATTATAAATGAAAAACTGGAAATGAAATTTCTAAATACCATTTACAATACTATAAAAATTTATGAAATACTTAGGGCTAAATTAATAAGACATATGCCAAGATGTGTACAATGAAAACTACAAAATGTTGCTGAGAGAAATTAACGAAGACTTAAATAAATGCAGATATGTACCATATTCATGGATTGGAAGACTCAAGTGAGATGTTAATTTTCCCCAAATTGATCTATACATTCAATGCAATCCCAATCAAAACTTTACAGCCTTTACAAGTTGATTCTAAAATTTAAGTGGAAATGGAATGAAACTAGAAAAGTCATAAAATTTTTGAAAAAGAACAAGGAGAACTTTATCAGATTTCAAGACATTGTGCTAAGGATAGACATATAGATCAGTGGAACAGAATGGAGAGTTCAGAAGTAGACCCACACGTATGTAGTCAATAATTTTTTATAAAGGTATCAAGGTAAAAGGTGGGGTTTTTTTTTAACTAGTAGTACTGGAACAACTGGATAGTCATATGGAAAAAAAAATGAACCTCAATCCTTACCTCACATTGTACACAAGATTGACTATAAATAGATTAAAGACCTACACATAAGAGCTAAAATTATAAAACTTCTGGACGGAAACATGGGATAAAACTTTCAGGAAAAACTTCTTAGGCGGTTCCCTAAAAGTACTAACCATAAAAGAAAAAAATACTGATAAGCAGGACTTCATCATAATAAAAAAACTTCTCTCCCAAAGACATTATTAAGAAAATGAAAAGGCAAGCCAAAAACTGGGAAAAAATATTCTTAATACCTATATCTGACAAAGAACTTGTATTTAGACTACATTTAAAAAAATCTACAACATAATAATAAGACAACTCCATTTTTAAAAATATCAAGAATTTGAAGACATATCACAGGAAAATATGTATTAATGGGCTGGGCGTGGTGGCTCACATCTGTAATTCCAGCACTTTGGGAGGCCCTGGTGGAAGGATTACTTGAGCCCAGTAGTTCAAGACCAGTGCATTGGAAAATATTTTATCAAATTCCTATAAACATATACTTACTATATGATGCAGAAATTTTCACTCCTAGGTATTTACCCAAGGGAAATAAAGGTGTACAGTCACAAAAAGACCTGTACATTAATGTTCATAGCAGCTTTATTCATAATAGTTCCAAACTGGAATTAACCCGCGTGTCCATCAATAGGTGAAAGGATCAGCAAATTGTGGTATCTTTGTACAGTGAATTATTACTAGCAATAAAAAAGAACAAACAAATGATACATGCAAAACTGTTAATGAATATTTAAAAGTCAAAAAATTCAGACACATCAACACCTGTGAAAAGAAAGGGAAAGAAAAAGAAAAAAACTTAGATGCAAAAGACTAAATACCGTATAATTTCATTTACATGAAAATCTGGAGGAAGCAAACTAACTTTATAATGAATGGAAACAAATAAGTGTTTGCCTGGTGTGGGGGTGGAATTTAGTGCAAAGAGGCATAGAGGAACTTTTTTTAGGGTGATGAGATGTTTTATATCTTGATTGTGGTGGTTGTTTCAAGGATATATACATTTATCAAAATGCAAAGAAAACATCCAAAAATAGGTGCATTTTTTACATTCTGTTTCATGTAAAGTTTGCCTTATTACAGTTGAATTTTAAAAAGTAGTGATCCATAGTGTTAATCAGCAAAGTCCTATTGATAATTGTCTCAAATTGGAAACAACCTACATGTCCCTCAGTGAAGTATTAGTTCAGTAAATTTTGGAAGAACAATAAAATGAAGTACTGTGTATTCCTTAAAAACATATTAGACAGGCGCCAGGCACGGTGGCTCACACCTGTAATCCCAGCACTTTGGGAGGCCGAGACGGGCAGATCACGAGGTCAGGAGATCAAGACCATCCTGGCTAACACGGTGAAACCCCGTCTCTACTAAAAATACAAAAAAGTTAGCCGGGCGTGGTGACGGGTGCCTGTAGTCCCAACTACTTGGGAGGCTGAGGCAGAGCTTGCAGTGAGCTGAGATAGTGCCACTGCACTCCAGCCTGGGTGACAGAGCGAGACTCCGTCTCGAAAAAAAAAATTAGACAAAATAATTGACCCAGAGAAAATATTTGTACTATTTTGCTATGTGAAGGAAAAAATAAAATAAGACACCTAACAACTTTTCCGTGTATAATATAATTTGGGTTAAGTCAGTAACTGATGCTTATGTTATTATAACTACATAATTTTATACAGAGTTGAGTTGTCATAAGCCATGATTGCTTTTCCTTTCTTGTACAAATTTTTGTTTTCCTTACAGCTAATAATTGTTTTTCATTGGCTCAGTTTTCTCTTTACTTATTCCTAAATCAATTCCAAACTTTATGCTGATTATCTGCACTGCCCAAAATGGTAGCCACTAACCACATGGCTACTAGAATTTAAATTTAAATTAATTTTGACTAAATAAAACAATAAGTTCAGTTCTTCAGTCACACTAATAAACATTTCAAGTGTTCTAGCTAGTGGCTACTGTATTGGACAGCACAGATATAGAACATTCCCATCATCACAGAAAGTTCTAATGGACAATACTGGTCTAGATTGCCTCTCAAATATTCAGAAACAACAATTTTGTCTTCACTGAGAAATTTCTCTGGAGCTTTTCACCTTTGACCAAATCTGGATGTTTGCTCTCTCTGCCTGGTATTGGGCTCTCATCCTGGAATTTCCTTTCGCCAACTTCCAGGGAATTCTTTGCCCCTCCCCTGTGTTAAATTTCTTGTTTCCTATTCTTGGTTTCCTCCCTCATTTTAGTGGAGCACATCCTTTGGTAACTTCCTTAGAGAGGACTGCATGGGAGATAAGGTTTTGAAATATTTCATGCCCTAAAAATATCATCCATCTATTCTTATATGAGATTAAGAATCTCACTGGAAATTAAATCTAAGAAGACAATTATTTTTCATGATAATTTTTGAGGCATTGCTCCTCTTTCTTCTAGCTTTCAGTGTTGCTGTTGAGAATTTCCAAGCCATTCTGATTCTCAGTCTTTGTGTATTATTTGCTTTTTCCTCAGGGTTCTGAAATTTCATAATGGTGTCCCTTGATGTAGGTCTATTTTTATCCTTTTTTTTTGCGGTAGGCACTCAGTGTCTTTTAATCTGGTAACTCAGGTGCTCCTTCAGTTCTGGGAAACTTTCTTCAATTATTTCCTTGATGAAAATTATGTACCATCAGATTTCTCTGTTCTTTCTTTCTGGGCCCACCAGTATTTAGATACTGGATTCCCTGTTCAGGTATTCGATTTTTAAAAAAATAATTTTCCCTCCAATTTTCCATATGTTTATGCCTTTGTTGTGTTCTTGGGGAGAACTCCTTGACATAGTCCTACTCTTCTATTGGTTTTTCATTTGTGCTATTGTGTTTTCATTTCCAAGCGCTTGTTGTTGTTCTCTGAACTTCCCTTTTTATGGCATCCTGTTCTTGCTCATGGTTACAGAATTGTCTCTTATGTCAGAGGATATTAATTATCTCTATATAGAGTCTTTCTCTCTGTGTGTCTGTGTTTGTTTCTTTTGTTTATTGTTTCCTCCTCTTCCCCCACCCACCTCCTCTACCTCTCTCTCCTTAGAAGTCCTCAGATGACTGGCAGACCTTGGTTGTCTGCTCACATTAAAGAGTGGGGGAACTATGAATCTCTGAGCTTGTGGATGAGGCTTGCTGATTGTGGCCTTCATTATTTTAATAGAAGACCTGTACAAGCCTTTGGGAGAAGTCCCAAAATCTGTATTTTAAAATCTTTCCTCTTGATCAGTTTCCCCAGCATGCAGGCTAGCCAACAGTGTTTTGGGGCCCAAATAGAGATAGAGGACTGAGGGTCTCTGCATTCAGGCATTCAGTATACATGCTTTCACTTAATTCCTTGATTCCAGTACCATAATCCTGCCTCAACTGCACTTTGTATTCCATTATCCAAAGACTTTCTATTACCCTCTATAGAGAATAAACCTCTGATTTTATCCTAGGGTGGAAGAGGAACAACTGTTTGGCCCTGCAAAACTGGGGAGGGAATCTGAAGATTCCAACTGTTTCATAAATGTGTTTCAGTTGGTCTTTCTTATTTTAGCTCCTCTACCTACCCTCTCTATCTCCTCTTCCAAAAGTATCTGATGCTGGAAATTATTTAGAATGACGTGCATTTGACTGGTCCTCGGTTTGGTCCACTGCTGGTTTAGGTTTCTTGGGTCTGCTATTTTAGTTATTTATCTTGCATCTGCTTCCTGGCTTCCAAAATTTCATTGTCACTGTCTTTTCGCTTGTTCTTTCTTTCTGTTTGTTTGTTTGTTTGCATTTCTGCCTTTTAAAGAAATGTCTTTTCCTGTCATTCTAGAGGGGTTTTTGGAGGAAACAAAATAAATGTGTGTGTCAATCTGCCATCTTTATCCAGAAGTCGGTAAACATATTTATAAAAACATAAATATGTCAAGAGTTAGTTTATAGGACAAGCAATGCAGTTTTCTTTAAACATTTTGGTCTGAAGTATAAATATAATACTACTTTAATTCATACAGGATTTCTGAGAATTGGTAAAGTATTGCTTAAGAATTTCAACATGAAAAATACTTCCTAATACTATAAAAATACTATAAAACTATATTTGAAGAATTTAAGTATAAATGGCCTCAGTAAGGAATATTAGCTCATAGTCCTCCACTTGGAAATAAACCCCTCAGCTGTGTTGAAGACCATTGGAGATAATAAATGACATTATCTGAAAATATTTGCATGTTTTAAAATTTCTTACTCATATTATATCTTTTTAGAGGTTGCCAGAACATCACTAGTCTCAGTTTAGGAAAAAAAATATTAATAAAAGATAGTTTGAAAGATGACATAGATACTTTCATAGGAATTGATAAGAACACACAGAGAGATCAAATTCTTCCACTTGGTTTTGGATGCTTTGTGTCATTATCCTGACTTTGTTCAAAAGTAAGACTTTGAAATTGTCAGAGTAAGAAAGGAGAAAAATTTGAATGAAGCTGGTCTAAACATTAGGTAGAAATAAAAGCCTTCAGATAATCCTGATGATGCTTCTAGTTACCTGTTTGCTTCCTTTCCTTACCAAATTTCTCACAAGATGCTTTCTATTTGCTGTACCCCCCTTACCAGTTTTTCCATGCAGAAAGCTGGCTTCTTCCCCCACCTTCACTTCCCCAACTACTCTCTTCAAAATAAACAATGACTTCCTAATTAATAGAACTTAGAGTCTCTGTTCCTTTTTCATTCTTCTTGGTCTATTTTTATTTTATTTTATTTTTTAGAAACAGTCTCGCTCTGTTGCCCAGGCTGGAGTGCAGTGGTACAATCATAGCTCACTGCAGCTTTGAACTCCTGGGCTCAAACAATCCTCCTGCCCCAGCCTCCCAAGTAGCTGGAACCCAGGTTTGTGCCACCATGCCTGGCTAATGATTTTTTGTAGAAATAGCATCTTGCTTTATTGCTTAGGCTGGACTTGGACTCCTGGGCCCAAGCAGTCCTCCTGACTCAGCCTCCCAAGAAGCTGGGACTACATTTGTGTACCACCACGCATGACTAATTATGTTTAAAAATTTTTGTAGAGACTAGGCCTTGTTATGTTGCCCAGGCTGGTCTTGAACTCCTGGGCTCAAGCAATCCTCCCACCTCACCCTCTCAAAGTGTTGGGATTACAAGTGTGAACCATCACACCCAACCTTGATCTTTTTTATATTGATGATATACTCATTTTAAAACAGTCCTTCTTATTTCTATGATATACTTCTCATTCTTTTTCCATCTGTTCTCATCTTTTTTCCATCCACTTCCCTCTTTTGCTTTTGTTCTTTCTTCCACCTCTAATTGTGGGCATCCCCAAACATCCCCCAAAATCTTTGATCATATGCTCTTCTAGCTCTATGTGCTTTCCTTTGGAAGATTCATCCATTCTCAGGGTTTCAAGCATCACGTGTATGCTGTCGACTTCCATATGTGTTATCTTGAGCCCTGATCATCCCCAAGAGCTCCAGTTCTATATCTTTAACCTTCTTTCGGGCATTTGTGCTTTGAGTTAACACTGTCATGTCAAATCCAGTATGCTCGTCTTTTTATTCACCACTGCCTTCCCTTTTCCACACATAGAACAAGTTTCTCTACCCAGTTTCCCCCCATCTCAGCACCACCTTTATCTCAGTGTCTTAAGTTCAGAATCTTGAAATCATTCTCCTGCATTATCCTCATTTAGTCAAGTATCAGAATTCCCCTAAGCCTTCCCTTTCCAGCCTGTTCTTACTGCCAAAACTCAAGTCCAGACCTTCATCCTCTCCTATCTGAATTACTACCACAGCCTTGAGGCTCTCCCACAGCCTCCTGGATCCTAGATACCACTGCCATCTACTGTTATTTAAATATGACTTTTATTCTATCGCTTCCCTAATCAAAAATATCTCATGAGTCTTATTTCCAGCATCAAGTCTAAACACCTTTTCTTGGCTTTCGGGCTGCTTGTAGCCTGGCTCCACCTTATCTGTCTTATTACCCAACATCTTCCCCTTCCTTGAGTTAGGTCAGTTTTCTCACTGTCACAAGAACTGGCCAAGTTCATTTCTTCCCCCATATCTTAACAAGTGTATTTTCTCTTGTCCAGAATGCCTTTCTTTCCATTGGCCCAAATCATATCCATTTTGCAAGAGAATTGTCTATGCTTCCTGTGTCCAATTCCCTGCTTTCTGTTCTCTTTAACCCACTTTAATCAAGCTTTTATCACCACCACTTTACTATTCAAGCCATAATTCTTATCACTTTCCTATCATTAGTCACTTTCTCAGTCTTTCCCATCTCAGTAAACGACACTATCATTTACTTAGTTGCTTCAAACCTAAAAGCCATCTTTAGTTCTTCTCCCTCAAAACCTATATCCAGTCCATCAGTGAGTCTAGTGAGCTTTCCATTCAAAATATATTTCAAATCTGGCCACTTCTCACTATCTCACTGCTACCACTCTGGCCCAAGCAAACAGTACCTCTCCAGTGGTCTCCTTGCTTTCATTTTTGCCCTTGCACAGTTTATTTCACCAAAGCATCTCTAAAGATGTCAATCTATTCATGTCACTTCACTGTTTATGGCTTTTAAGGCCATACCTGATCTGCTCTAGCCCAAGGCTCTGACCTTACCTTCTTTCAATTTCCCCTTACTTCCTCGTCTCTATTTTCTCTGGCCTTCTTTCTGTTTCTACAAAAAGCTAAGCTTTTTGACACCTCACTTACACATGGACACATTTCAGAATAGTCACTAGATAGGTTAGAAAAGAATAAGTGTTTTCAGTTTCCACAATATTTGTCACTAAAATATGTATTGTATTAACAGGAAAAACTTATTTCTAAAATCTACATTTTTGTATAAGTTTATTTTTATTTTGAAATAATCTCAAGCTTACAGAAAACCTGCAAGTACACACAAATCATGTTTTATTTTCTGAGCCATTTGCTTTATCACTCCTGTATACTGTACTATGTAATTCCTATAGGCAAGGATATTCTCCTATATATTCACAATATAACCATCAAAACTGAGGAATCAGCTTTGATTCATTACTGTCATCTAACCCTCAGATTCCTTTCAAGTTTTTCCAGTTGTCCCAGTAATATCCATTATGGCAAAAGGATCCAGGTTAGAATCATGTGTTGTATTTAGTTAAATTTCTTTAGCTTCCCTTAGCTTGGAACAGGTCCTCAGTCCTTCCTTGACTTTCATGACCTTGACATGTTTTAATAGAACAGGCCACTTATTTTTTAGAATGTCCTTCAATTTGCATTTGTCTGATGTTTCCTCAAGATTAGATTCAGGGTATGCATCTTTTTAAAGAATAACATAGGGCTGGGCATGGTGGATTATGCTTGTTATCCCAGCACTTTTGGAAACTGAGGCAGAAGGATCACCTGAGGCCAGGAGTTCAAGACCAGCCCGGGTCACACAGCAAGACCTGCATCTCCTAAAACTTTTTAAAAAGTTAGCTGGGTGTGGTGGCACGTGTCTGTAGTCCTAGTTACTCCAGAGGCTGAGGCAAGAGGATCACTTGAACCCAACAGTTTTAAGGTTGCAGTGAGAGCTATGTTCACACCACTACACTCCAGCCTGGGTGACAAAGTGAGACCTTGCTTTTTTTAAAAAAAAAAAAAAAAGAAAGAAAGAAAGAAGGAATATCACAGAATTGGTGCTGAGTAATCTTTACTTCCTTCAGGTGGCACATGATTTTGATTTGTCCCATTTCAATTATGTTTTATTTGGTCACTTGATTAAGGTGGTGTCTGCCAGCCTTCTCCACTGTAAAGTTATTTTCCCCTTTGTAATTAATAAGTAGTTTATAGAAGAGTACTTAGCAACTATGTAAGTTATCCTGATCCTCATCAAACTTCCCATTTATTCACTTATTTATATCAGTATGGACTCATGGGTCTTTATTTTATCTGTTACTATCATTATTTATTTTGATGCTCATATTCTCTAAGATGTTGCCAGTGGGAGCCTCTTCAAGTTGGCTCTTGTATTCTTTGACATGTCCCTCTAATTAAGCACTTCCTTACATCCTGTTACAAGCTGTTCCAGACTCGTCTTGTGTTTTCCCTGTTCCAGTCCTGGAATCAGCCATTTCTTCAAGGATCCCTGGTTTTTCAGTGGTTCCTTCTAATAGCCACAATGTGGTTTCTCTCAGTGGACAGAACTAGAGAATATATGTATGTACACAACACACACACACACACACATCTATATTTATGTATCTATATGAAAACCCATGATTTCACACCTATACCATCAATGCCAATCCAATGCTGTAGAATTCATTCTAGCTTTATCACTTTCTATATTTGTAATTTTTCTCCATCAGTGAGAGAACTGGCTGCCATTATCATTAGCTTATTAATTTATTTGATCAGTTCCCTTAAATGTAACCAAACTCCCATCTTTGCCACCTTCCTTGTACACATATAGACACCCATATCACACCTCTAGGACTCTTGACTCTACTCCCCAGACTGCCTCCTCACCCTGCTCAAGCTTTGACACTCTGCCTTGGGCCTTTTCCCCATGTAGATGACCCTGCTTACCCTGCTCAGGCTCCAACTCTGGCATTCCCACTGTGGGTCACCCACACTTGTGATGCCCTCGTTACTCCATTTGGCACTGACTCCCCAAGCCATGCTCGCCCTCCACATGGTTGCCCTCCTCACACTGCACAGGCTCTGATACAGATGCTTAGCTTGCTCTGCCCCACCTGACATTGGCTTTAGGATTGAGCTGTTTCTCAAGAATTGGGAAAAGGAAGAAGTAAGACCATATTTTATTTAGAAAATGCTTCCTACCTAGTGTAGCTTTCACTATGAGTTGAGAAGGCTGTAACATTTCTGTTCCCTTTGACCTAAAAAAGCATATATTATTAGTATTCATCTGCCTTAAATACTGTAGCAATCAGTGGACCAAGAGCCAAATCATTTTTGAAAGAACACCTAACCTAAATGAATGTAGAAACAAAACAACCAGATAAAAAAAGAAAGATTTCTTCACATTTTTTCATCTTTTGTTCAAATGCTTTGGTATTATGGACACAGTCTCGGAATCACTGTTAAGTGCTAATGATTAATAAGTTCATGAACCTTACATTTTGAACAGGGTAGTTTCTGATGCCTGACGCCCTTGGATCAAAATTAATTGTATCTTTTAAAACTGAGAAATGAAAATATTTAGTCACAATAACATTACTGTCATTCAGTCATACCACAAGATTTTGCAAGGCAATATCTACATTGAATTGATTGTCCCTTGAAACTTTAGAACTAAAACCTCTGCAAGATTGTCCTTGATAATCTTTTCACAGCAATAAAAGCACTGACGAAGAGTCAGGGCGTTGTCATCAAAGAGACTAAACTGCTGCAGACTACAACTTTCCCAGGACAAAAATATTCAAGTTTGCCTCCAAACCTCTTCAAGATATAAACTAACCATTCCAAGAAGTAGCTTTTTCATTCCTACTGTTACTCTAAATTGTCTGAGAGGCAAATTTAGCCTTTTTTCTAAATTAAGATATGTTATTATTGGGCTTTTGTTTAATTCTAAGCCAAAATATACCCAAACTCCCACTACATTCCTTGGAAGCTGTAGATGCTGTTGAAGTGCTCTCTTGGCCACATCTCACTCCTTTAGGAGTCAGCACTCTCCATCTGTATCCTCTTGGAGACCATGAAAGGGAAAACAGCCTCTGTGACTTCTCCAACCAGGTGGGTCAGATTAGCTTTACAGTCCACTTACAAGGAGACTAACAAAGCTCCTCTGTGGGTGTTTGAGCACATTTTACAAAACTGCTGATGACCTCATGAGCCAAAGAAACCAGGTCTCACATTGTGGACTAAGCCTAAATATTAATACTACTTTATATTTATGTAGTGTCTTTTTTCCAAGGAACTCCAGCCTCTTTACAGACATTATGTCACTAATCCTCAAAGCATCCCTGTTTGGTACATGGCAAATATTATCCCCCTCCCTTTTTTTTTTTTTAACAGTGATGGAAACTTGCAAGTTGGTGATGGAACCCAGCCCCCTGGTTCTTAGTCTATGCACTATACCATAAAAAAAGTCAGACGAATACTTTTTCAAGCTATTCATTGCTTCTTGGGTGGGATTTAAGAGGATGTCTTGGCTTGTATGCATTTCAGTTTTCAGTGTCTCTAGCTTCTGTGATCCTCTTTTTCTTCTTCATTGTAAGTCAAGCATGTTCAAGCATATTTCTCTTCCACTGTTGCATTTATGGGAACACTAGAAGTTTGTAACTGAGATTTGAAGTGAAAGACTTCGGTATTGAATATGTAATTTCACTTGTCACTCAGAGATCCCTTATACTTCTCATAACCTAAAAGAAATTAGATTTTTTAAAAAAATTCACCATGCCAGCTTAGAGCACATTTCATTTATAGCAATCACATTTTCACCAAAATTAGGTAATGTTCAACTAAATACAACCAATTTGTGTTGAATTATTAACATGTACCAGATATTATATCAAACATTTTCAAATATATGATCTTGTTTTACATATATTAACACATATGTAATATTCCATGTGAACCTGTTAGATTTAATTCTTAAGTGTATAAACACTCTCCTAGAGTAGGGCAAAGAAAAAAAAAGAGGCATTAATAGAAATATGGCCTCAGTTGTTATATCCAATAAAAATAAAAATAAAAGAGCTCCCTCAATTCTCTCAGTGGAAATCCCCAGTGTAAATATTTCCACAAAAGAGGAAAATGTGGGTAACTTCTAAAAATCACCAGGAGTTAGCTTCATATCCACAAAGTAAAAAAAAAACAAAAACAAAACTTAAAAGTTTGGTTCCTACATAATCAACAACTATACAAAGCATAAGGAAGAGAATAAAACACAGCCATATCTAAGGATGACAAATATTTCTTGATTTCACTTGGTTAGACCCTTCCTAATCAGGATTATTAAAACCAGGAATTATGAACTGTAGTGGTATAGCTTGCTCACTCTTTCTTTCCTTTCTTTCTTTCTTTTCTTTTCTTTTTTCTTTTCTTTCTTTCCTTCTTTCTTTTTCTTTCTCTCCTTTTCCTTTTCCTTCCTTCCTTCCTCCCTCCCCTCCCCTCCCTTCCCCTTCCCCTTCTCCTTCCTTCCTTCCCTCCCTCCCTCCGTCCCTCCCTCCCTCCCTTCCTCCCTTCCTCCCTTCCTGTCTCTCTCTATCTCTTTCCCCCTCCCCTTCTCTCTTTCTCTTTCTTTCTTTCTTTCCAGGGTCTTGCTCTGTCACCCAGGCTGGAATGCAGTGACATGATCCACAGCTCACTGCAGCTTTGACTTCCTGGGCTCCCGCGATCCTCCCACCCCAGGCTTCCAAGGAGCTGGAACCACAAGCGCACGCCACCGCTCTTGGCTGATTTTTGTATTTTTGGTAGAGATGGGGTTTCACCATGTTGCCCAGGTTGATCTCAAACTCCTGAGCTCAAGCAATCTGCACACCTCGGCCTCCAAAAGTTCTGGTATTACAGGCATGAGCCACTGCGCCTGCCCCTGTAGTGGTAAAACTTTAGTCACAAAAAATCAATTTCACATCTCATTTTAAAATTCTTTTATATGAACTACTGTCATGTTTTTCAAATTGGTGGACATCTGTAGCTTCACTGAATTAGAATGATGCCAGTGAAATGAGAGACAATGCGGAAAAATTAGAAAAGTTCTCCTAAAATAAGGCGGAGAGTTTCAACTCTTAATCATTGAATTTTGAAAGCCCTCAGAATAAAAATGTACCATATGCCCTGCCATAATACTGTTTCACTCTGCTCTCTGGCCCAGCTAGATTCGAACTAGCCCTACATTTCTAAGTAAATAGTGCTTAATTTGAAACTGAGAAGCCCTACCACATCACGGAAAATCTTTATAGGTTGGAAAATATGTATATTATGTCATGCTTTAGGTATATAATCTAGCCATATTCTGTAATAGATTTGCTGCAGTTTATACTCAACAACCTTGAGTTTTTAAGAAAACATATTTGTATATTCCAAATGTTTGGTTTATCTTTCATAGGAAATATTAGCCAAAAGGGATACCCTGTATTTCAGGTAAAAACTTAGTGATAGGGAAATTTAAAAAGTGTTAGTCAAAAATCGAATGTTTGCCCTATCAGGGTTGCCATGCATGACTGTGCTGATTGTGTACTGCATAATTCCAGGGATACCTAAAACACAGACAGAAATGTGAATGACACCCCTGGGGTTGAGCAACGCCTGGCAGCCCTGATTTTAAGTAAATAGTAAAGCTTTTGAAAATGCTCATTTTTTTTTTCTGATTCACTACTGAAGACCAGTTGTGAGCTGCAGGAGGGCTTTTATTATTTTTCCTATTTTTTTGTGTATATGCAAGGTCCTTAGTTTTTTCCTCTCCATGTTGTTTCCAAAAGACTTCCTTACTGACTGAGCTTCAGCACACTGCTCTGGCATTCTCCCAGCTCTAAGTTTTCATGAGTCAGGGAAAATGTGTGCACTCTGAAAAGAAGCTTGTCAGACATGCTCAGCCAGCTGACATGAAGTCCCTCTCTCCATTCTTCTTTTCCATCCACATTCTTACAGCCTACTGCTTGTACCTTTATTTAGCCCTGACTTCATCCTACCTGTGTTGGATGTTAGTTAGAGTTTGTTGTTTACATATCTGTGTTCCTTACTACCTTGAACTCTACTGCCCATCCCTGCTGTCCTGCTGCCACTGTGCCCTGCCCTTATCACCACCATAGCACTTAGCATGGTGCCTTGAATCTTCTGCTTGTCTGACCCTCCTCTTTTACCTTTCCATTCTTTGGTTTTCTTTCATTTTCTTTAGTCAGGAGGAAAATATGTATTCTCTAGATGGGGAGAATAACTGGAGGAATGGGAAGAAAGCTCACCTCCGTAAAAGACCAAGAGTGGCCCTGCAGTTAGTTCTGTTACTTGGTCACAACCCTCCATTTCCTCATTTACTCTTACTGTGGCCAGGCCTGGCCCAGATTTAATAAAACAACTTGAAGAGGGTGATATCATGAATTTTATTCCAGTTTTAAGTTTTTAGTGATGCAGTTGATTTTGAAATGACAACAGTACAGATGGTTTTTGCAAGGATGTAAAAGAAACTAGTAACAGTGATTGTCTTTTAGAAGGGGACTTGAATGGTTCTGGGATAGCAGGGAAAGTTTCACTATATACCTTTATATTACCTTTTGAATTGCATATTATGTAAATGTATTAGCTATTGAAATAGATACATAAAACTAACAAAAATGGAAGCAATTAAATAACTATAGTTGAACTAAATTGATGCTGTAGAAAATTCTGTTAATTACAACAAAGTGTTTGAATATATTTTTTCAAAGCTAGATCAGGAAGAGGAGAGGTATGATTATTCTCATTTTGTGTTAGAAATTTTGAAAATGTTTCATCATTTCCTGCATAAATAATATGAAAATTAAGTTTAGGTGCATGCTCCTTATATAAAACTTATCCTCACTCTGAACACTCAACTACTTCACTTTAGGGGTTTTCTATTTCTCTTCAATTGAATTTAGGGCCAATTTAAAGTGAAAATCTGACTTCTTAGTGACTGTATCTTGCAACTCTGCCTCTGCCTTGTGTGGAGGAACTTTACTGGGGAGGCCAGAGTTCCTAAGTGTTATCTACTTTGGTCTCTCCTTCCTGCCAGCAAGAGTAGGCAGTTATGACCTGAGGTTTAGATATTGCACCAATAGAGATCTTCCATCTTAGACAATTTTCATACCAAAGTGGTCTTTTTCTGATATTTTATAGGACCTATCTCTATAGTCATTTCTGTACTTACAGTTATGCTATGTTCCTCTCAACACCTGCTAAAGCACTTATAGAGGCTCATGTTCAAGCAAATGACCTACATAGCAAGTCTGTGAGAAGCAGGGTATTGCATTTCCAATTCTGTATCTATTATCTGTTCATCTCTTTTTTGAAGAATCAGCAAATGTATGTCAAACTTTAGTACATCTAATGACACCATCATGTCATTGCCTGTAAATTTCCTCTATTCATGCCACAAACCAAGAAACAACTTTTTCATTTTTATAATTACTTCAAGTATGTGCTTGAGCGTGTTTATGTATTTAATGTATCCACCTTTAACTACCACGGAATTCATAATTATTTACTCAGGCATTTGAAAGTAAGAAAGTAACTGACATTTTTCTATTGAAAAGTATTTAATAATATTTTAGAATATTTTATAATTTTTAAAAGCCTAATAAACATTATTTTTTTAAATGTTCTTTTTTACCTTTGCAAATAAAGCAAGATTGCAAATAAAAAGATTTTTACACTAACATTTTTTATCACTTTGAAATAAAGGGGATAAAAGAGATTAAAGTAATAAAAATGTTGATTATTATAACCGTGTCAAGTAATAGAAAACACAATTTAAACAATAAACACACTGATATGAAACTTCATATTTTTAAGTTTAATTATATTTAATACAATTTACACATGAATACATTCTCATAGATAGTTCAAAAACTGCCAATAAGGATATTCCATGCCTTTTCCTTTGCATTTAAAATACACACACAGGGTGGGCATGGTGGCTCACATCTGTAGTCCCAGCACTTTGGGAGGCTGGGGTGGGCCGATAACTTTAGCCCAGCAGTTTGAGACCAGCGTGGGCAACATGGTGAAAACCCGTCTCTACCAAAAATACAAAAATTAGCTGGGCGTGGTGATGTGTGCCTGTAGTCCCAGGTACTCAGGAGGCTGAGGTGGGAGGATTACCTGAGATGGGGAGGTCAAGGTTGCAGTAAGCCATGGATGGCACCACTGCACCCCAGCCTAGGTGACAGAGTGAGACCCCGTCTCAAAATACACACACACACACACACACACACACACACACGATATGTTGTTTAATACAGCAGCCACTAGCCACATGTGGCTATTGAGTACTTGAAATGTGGCTAGTTTGAATTGAAATGTAGGTATAAAATATACGCTGGATTGTGAGGACGTACTACAAAAAAAGAACGTAAAATATCTCCATCATTTTAATATTCACATATTAAAATGATAGTTTTTAATATATTGGGTTAAATTAAATGTTAAATTTTAATTTCATCGTTTCTTCTTACTTTTTAAAATATGGTTCAAATTTAAAATTATTTGGTGTGTAATTGTGTCTTGCATTCTATTTCTATTAGGCAGTACTGTATATAGGTATATACATGCAAACATTTGATTTGTGGACATCTTTTTTTTTTTTTTTTTTTGAGACAGAGTCTTGCTCTGTCGCCCAGGCTGGAGTGCAGTGGCGCAATCTCGGCTCACTGCAACCTCTGCCTCCCAGGTTCAAGCAATTCTCCTGCCTCAGCCTCTAGAGTAGCTGGGATTACAGGCACCCACCATCATGCCTGGCTAATTTTGGTATTTTTGTAGAGACAGGGTTTTACCTTGTTGGCCAGGCTGGTCTTGAACTCCTGACCTCAAGTGATCCACCCGCCTCAGCCTCCCAAAGTGTTGGGATTACAGGCGTGAGCCACCACGCCTGGCGATTTGTGGACATCTTAAAATCACAAATGCAATAATATTGTCCTTTTTTTAAACTTACTTTTTTCACTTAACATACGTCTTACAGATTTTTCCCTATTAGTATACTTAAATGAACCTCATTCTTTTTAACTGTGGCATAGTAATCCTTAGTATTAAAGTGTTCTAGGTTTATTTCAAGTTTTTTATATTGATGAACATTTAAGTTTTTACTTTTTCTTAGGAACATTGCTTCAGGAATGTCCTTGAACATGACTCTTTGTGCATATATGGGAGCATTTCTCTAGGATAGACACCTAGGGGGCCAGAAGATATTTGAAGTTTTTGATTATCTGGATATAGTCCTGTTCAAAGATTGTATTACCTCAGAAAAGATGCTTATTTTTTATGGTTTTGTCATTTTTATAAATCATGTGCTGATTTTCTTTTCTTTTTTTGTTTTTTTGAGACAGGGTCTCACTCTGTTGCCCAGGCCACAGTGCAGTGGCACAATCTTGGCTCACCTCAACCTCTGCCTCCTGGGCACAAGCAATCTTCTGCCACATCAGCCTTCTGAGTAGCTGGGATTACAGGCATGTACCACCACGCCCAGCTAATTTTTTGTATTTTTTGTAGAGATGAAGTTTCTCCATGTTGCCCAGGCTGTTCTCAAACCACTGAGCTCAAGTAATCCACCTGCCTCAGCCTCCCAAAATTCTGGGATTACAGGCATGAACCACCACGCCCGGCCATGTGCTGACTTTTATTTTTATTTTTATTTTTATTTTTGTGTTGGTTTGTTATTGTGGTAAAATATACATAATATATAATTTGCCATTTTAACGATTTTTAAGGATACAGTTCAGTGGCATTAAGTGTATTCACATTGTTGTGCAACTGTCACCGTTATCCATTTCCAGAAGTTTCTTCATCTTCCCAAACTGAAACTCTATACCCATTAAACAATAATTCCTCATCTCCCTCTCCCCATAGTCCCTGGCAATCATCATTCTATTTTCTGTCTCTATTAATTTGACTACTCTATATACCTTACACAAGTGGAATTATATAATATTTGTTCTTTTTTGACTGGCTTATTTCACTTAGCATAATGTCCTCAAGGTTCATCCATGTTTGAGCATGTATCAGAATATCTTTCCTTTTAAAGCTGAATAATATTCCATTGTATGTATATACCATATTTTGTTTATCCATTCATCTATTGATGGACAGGTGGGTTGCTTCTACCTTTTGGTTATTGTGAATAACGCTGCTATGAACATGGGTGTACAAATATTTGTTCAAGTTCCTGCTTTCAGTCCTTTTGGATATGTACCCAGCAGTGGAATTGCTGGATAATATGGTAATTCTATTTTTAATTTTTTGAAGAACTGCCCTACTATTTTCCATAGCAGCTGCACCATTTAACATTTCTACCAGCAATGCACAAGGGTTCCAGTTTCTTCACAGCATCCCCAACTTGTTATTTTCTGTTTTATTTTTTACTAATAACTATTATAATGAGTATGAAGTGGTATATCTTTGTGGCTTTAATTTGCATCTCTGATGATAGTGATATTGAGCATCTTTTCATGTGCTTATTGGCTAATTGCATATCTTATTTAGAGAAATGTCTCTTCAAGTCCTTTGCCCATCTTAAACTCAGGATTTTGTTTGTTTTTTTGCTGGTTTGTATTTTAAGAGACAGCGTCTCACTATGTTGCCCAGGCTGGTCCCAAACTCCTGGGCTCAGGCGATCCTCCTGCCTCAGCCTCCTGAGTAGCTGGGATTACAAGTGTGAGCCACCATACCCACTAAAATCAGGTTGTTTTGTTGTTGTTGAGTTGTAGGAATGCTTCATACATTTTGGACATTAACCCATTATTAGATAAATGATTTGCAAATATTTTCTCTCATTCCATGGGTTGCCTTCTTGATAATAGCATCCTTTGATGCACAAAAGTTTTAAATTTTGAAGTCCAATTTACCTATTTTTTCTTTTGCCTTTGTTTTTTGTGTCATATCTAAGAAATCCTTGTTAATTCCAATGTTATGATGATTTTCCCTATGTTTTCTTGTTTTGGCTCTTAGGTTTAGGTCTTTGATCCTTTCTGAGTTAACTTTTGTGTATGATCTAAGATAAAGGTCTAACTTCATTCTTTTGCATATGGATATTCCATTTTCTTAACAGCGTTTGTTGAAAAGACTATCTTTCCTCATTGAAAATCATTTGACCATATACATGAGGGTTTATTTCTGGGCTCTTTACTCTACTCCATTGGTCTATATGCCTGTCTTTATGCCAGTACCACACTGTTTTGATTACTGTAGGTTTGTAGTAAGCTTTGAAATCAGGAAATGTGAGACCTCCAACTTTGTTTTTCTTATTCAAGATTGTTTTGGTCATTTGGAGATCCTTGAGATCCCATATAAATTTTAGAATGGGTTTTTCTATCTCTGCAAAAAATTTTATTGGGATTTTGAGAAAGGTTGTGTTGAGTCTGTAGATTGCTTTGGGTAGTATTGACATCTTAACCATATTGTCTTTCAATCTATGAATGCAGATGTCTTTCCATGGTCTCATCATTTTATACATTTTATATGTTGCTTAAGAGGGTCTTCCCAATGCTAAAGTTATAAATAATTTTTTTCTATATTTTGTTTTAATAGATTTGTAGTTTGGGTTTACATATTTGTTTCCTTAAGTTAGCTGGGATATTTCCCCCAGTATGATAACTTTTTCCCATTTTATTGGTACCACCTGAATAGTCTGCCAATTCCCTGGTAATTGAAATGCCACCTTTTTCATAAACCATAGCATAGGTTTGTTTTTAGATTTTTCTCTTCTATTTCACTGATCCATATATCTACTCTTGTGATATAATTTTTAATTACCTTTATTTTATAGTAGCTTTTGATATCTGGTAGGGTAACTGTTTCCCCTCATTCTTCTTCTTTTTGTTTATTCCCTTTATTTTTATTATTATTATTCTTTTTCTTTATTCTTCATTCTTCTTCTTTTTTTATTCTCTTTATTATTATTATTCCCCTCATTATTCTTCTTTTTCATTATTCTTTTTAAGGTTTTCCCATATATTTTCTCTTTCAGATGACTATTAGAATCAGCCTAACAAGTTCCAACAGACATATTATTGGAATTTTGATTGAGATTACATTTATTTGATGAATTAATCTTGGGAAACTTATTTTTATAATAATATGCCTTTGTGTTTTGAGGAAACATTATTTCTAGTATCTATATTCCTATTATCACCATAATCCCTAAGAAATTTTCTATTTACTTGTATAATATTCAAGATTGCCATGTAGAATAGCTCTGTCCAATAGAACTTTCCATGATAATAAAAATGTTCTGTATCTGTGATGTCAAATAGGTAGCCACTTACCACATGTGGCTATTGAGCACCAGAAATGTGGCTAATGCAACTGAGGAAGTAAATTTTAAGTTTTATTTCATTTTGATTAAATGTAAATGGCCACATGTAGCTAATAGCTATCATATTAGACAGTACGGCTTTTGAATGTATGAATAAATGTGTAACTGAACACTTTTGTAAGTAGTAGAGGTAGTGTAGCAAAGAATTATTGATACCTACTGTGTGAAAGACATTGTGTAAAGCATTGCAGAGAGGCAAAAGGCCATAAAATTAATACACATTAATTCCTAAATAAAAATCCAATCCAAGTATAAGACAATTTGTTTACAAATATTTCTGTTGTCAGAAACGTTCAATTACAAAAATGTAGTGTGGATATTCATTAGAAAGAAAGTTCATGTCAAATTAAAGGAGCAAGAGAGGCTTTGTGGATGAAGTACTACTAGAAATTGGCCTTGAAGGAATTATTCAAAATTTAAAAGAAAGAAAGTAATGGAAGATTTCTGTTTTCTTAAATCTAGAGGAAATAGAGAAGAGGGAAAAGAATGTGGTATGTTTGGAGGATTAGCTCCCTTGGTTGCTGTAACAAATTACAAGTTTGGTGGCTAAAACAACAAAAATGTATTCTCTCACAATTCTGGATGCCAGAAGTCCAAAAGCAATATGAGTGGTCTGAAATCAAGATGTCAGCAGAGCCACACTCCCTCTGGGGGCTCTAAGAGAAGTTCTATTCTTTGCCTCGTCCAGCTTCTAGTAGCTGCTGGCATTCCTGGTCACAGCAGTCTCTGACCCTATTGTCACATTGTCTTCTCTTCTGTCTGTGTTCACATCTCCCATTGCCTCTGTCTTACAAGGATACATCTGATTACATTTAGGGTCCACCTGCATAATTAAGAAGAACTCTCCATTTCAAGATCCTTTATTACATCTGTAGAGACGCCCCCCTTTTATATTTTTGCCATGTAAGGTCACATTCACAGGCTGCAGAATTTAGGACATGAACATCTTTGGGGGCTCATTTTTTAGTGTACCACAAATATCCAATTTGCCTGGAGTTAGGGATTCCTGTGGCAGTAGGAATTATGATAACTGTCAGTCACTGAATGACTTGCACATGTGAGAGGTTATACCAAGTGCTCTATCTGTGCTATTCCATTTACTCATTACAAGAACATTGTGTAGGCATTAGGAGACGAGGGATGAATCTAAGGTGACTGTTTTCCACCTTTGATGACTAGGAAATGATGATTTACAGAAATTGTAGAGTCATGAGGAAAAATTGGTTACAAAGGAAAAACAATAAATTTGACTTTGGCTGTGTTTAGTTTGAAGTCCCAATAGGCTGTGCCCAAGGAAAGATCAACCCCAAATAGAAACTTAAGGGCCCCACGAAGAATTCTTATAGTCTCTTCTATAATTTTTTACCTTGTTTTCCCCTTTGGGTTGAAGAAACAAATTATAAGGAGCACTAAACTTGAAATCAGAAGACTTGGGTTCAAAACTTGCACTTACTAAATGTGTGAACTAGATAAGTCATTTCACTTCTCTGAGCTTCAGTTTCTACATCTGTACAAGAGGAATAACCACTCCCCCTCCCATCACACACAGTTATTGTGAGGAATAAATGACATAACATATGTGATTTTTTAGTATATAGTCTGTTGTAAGCATTCAAATGTTTCATTTGAAGGTAATATGTCTTAAAGCTATCTGGATCCTAAGTAAAACTCTACATTATTTTTACAAATCTATGATCAACTGCTTTTCCCATTGTCCAAATGACCATTCTATACTTTTACCACTTAAGTGTTTTAAGTGCCACCCAAGACCAATTTACTCCCTTTCTAAGCAGATGACCTAAACTCTACTTCATAGAAATAATTAAGGCCATCAAACATAAATCATTCAACTTTCTGCTCTCATATTTAAATGTTTACCTATATCTGTATCCATTTTACCTCATTCCTTCGGACCTCAGAAGAAGTAATATCCTTTCTTTTGTCCCAAGTGAATACTTCTTTAGATATGTGCCCTTGATGCAATTTCCTTCATCCTTAGCTCCAGGTCACATAGTCAATGCCTGGTGGACATCTTCATTTGGATACCTCATTCCAATTCAGAATATTGAAAACAGAGTCAGTTGTTTCTTCATCCATCCTCCCTACCATGTTCCTACCTCCTACTCCCTCAACTTCTATTTCCCATCTTGGTCACCGGCATTACCAGAAACTTGGGTAATTTTTGTCATGTTTTACTCCTTTCTTTCCTTTACTATACCTGTGCTTATTCCAATTAATGATCAAGTCATGGTAGGGCTCAGGTTCAGGCACTCATTCTGTCTCTCCTGAGCCCTCTATCCTTTTAATGTTTTCCCTCTAACTTCACTGCGGCTTTTGGTCTTGCTCAGATCATTCATTTTCTGAAGTAGCCTCATTGCTTCTCGTCTTACTCCTCTCCAATCCACCCTTCACACTGCTGCCATAGGGATCTTTCTAAAACAGACCTACTCTTGGAACCCTTCAGGGCTCTCCATTACAGACTCTCATTACAAAGTCCAAACTTTAAAGAATGACATTGTCTGACCCAGCCCACCACTCCCACACCCTTCCTGTTAGCCCCATTGAGCTATACCCAATTCCCCAGAGGTATCCTGCTTTATATCCCTGTACCTGTGCTCCTTCTGTCTAAAATGTGTTATCTGCAACCCCATTTCCTAATGCTGTTTGCCTGGTGAATGTCTGCTCATCTTGCATTACTTAGTTCAAGCTTCATATCCCTTTTGAAGCCTTGCCAGGCCTCCCCAGAAAGAACTGATAAGATCTTTTTGGAACCCCTGCTGTACCCTATATATGACTCTGTCATTTCCTCTGTAACCTGTTTGTTTCCCCGTACCAGGCCTTCTTTGAGGACATGAAGTGTCTTGATCAGCTTTGTATCTTTAGTGTTTAACACAATGTCTGGCACAGAGAAGGTGCCCAAAAAAAATTTATCAAATAAATGAATTAATTATAAAACTTTTAAAGTTATATGATGCCTTAGAGAAGGGAGTAAGGAAGAACTTATGTAACAACTTTTGGAGATAAATGGAAATATCTGATTATGAGCCTAAGAAGAATACACATTTACCTCCTAAGTAGAGATAGTCATGGTCCAGAACTCTGGTCACAAACTACAGAAGATAAAGAAATTAATTGAATGGGCAAACCCCTCATAAGTCCCAGTAAAACATGAGACACTTCCCAATGCGCTCTTGATGTGATTTCCTCCATCCTTAGATCCAGTTCACATAGTCAACACCTGGTGAACATCTTCATTTGGATATCTCACATCTAATTCGGAATCTTAAAAACAGAGTCAATTATTTCTCCATCTATCTTCCCCACCATTTTCCCACCTCTCACTCCCTCAACTTCTTCTATTTCCAATCTTGGTCAATGGCATTACCACAAACTTGGATAATTTTTGTCATGTTTTACTCCTTTCTTTCCTTTACTGTACCAACATATCAAGAAAGCTTACAGCTCCACTGGTGTTGGACATAAGTATTCTCTCAAAGCATTTGCTTTCTTACTGCTTATTCATCACAATGTTAACATAAACTTCATTTACGTTAATAGCATTTATTTTATAATTACTGTTGATCTACCTTTCATTGTGCCAAAAATATAAATGTTAAGGGAATCAAAACTAACATCAGTGGTATAACTTACTTTTAGGGACATAGATCCTTTGAACCATGGAAATCTTTGATCTGGAAACTGCCAAATCCAAAGATTCTAGACATAAACTTAACTACAAATTTATACTGGTGAGGACTGGTTTTCTCAAGAGAAAACATTTTGCCAGATCTGACTTGAAAAATAATTTTGAAGTGAGCAAAATTCACTACACTCACCCCAGGCACACAACTCACTGTATTTCCTGGCTGCCTGGGGCTGCCCTCTCCCGTGGTTCCCCATGCAGGTCTACCTCCTCATGCAAAACAAGTACCGTGCCCTGAACTGCCTTTCCTGTGTCACAACATATCTGTCTTTTTTCCAAAGCCTGTGAGGCTCTGCTTTTAGTAGGCTGACACTTGGAGACCACTTGGTAAATTCACTTACACTAACATAATATTAAGTAAAAATTCCAGGGGAATTTACATTTTTAACAGGAGTATGTTGGATGCATAATACCTAACCATAAGAGCTAATCTAATAAAGGGACATTTCCTACCATCTCATATATTTTCCATGTCTTTTCATGTTTCATTGTCTTTAAACATATTGAACTTTCTGCCTAGAATAACCTCCCCCTGCTCCCACCACCATTTCCAGTCTGGTGAACTGCTGCTCTTCCTTCAATACCCAGCTCAATGTCTCTCTTCTAAGGAGCCTTCTCTAAATTCCCCAGCCTGAGTTGGTCCCTCCCTCTGGACTTCTATAAAACTTTGTGTACTTGTCTCAATTTCTTTAGTCTTTTATTCACTCTTCAAATGACTTCAAGGTGACTTCTACCCTCACCAATCCAATGCACTAAGTAAACCCCATGTGGTGAAATCAAGTGGACATATTTGAGTCCTCATCTTCCTTGCCCTCTCAGCAACACCTGACACTATTGACCACCACCTTTTAATTTCTCCACTCCCTCTTCTTAAAACCCCCTTCCCCTGACTTTCTCAACATGACAGTCTGCTAGTCTTCTTTTATCTCTCTCTTTCTCAGTCTACTTTGTTGGCTCATCCTCTAACTAATCTCTAAATGTTAGATTTCTTTAGGCTATGTCCTGATCCTTTTCCCTTCCCACACTCTGATCTTTCAATAAGCAAACTCTTCCACACCCATGGCATTAGTTATCCTCCGTATGCTTATGACTTTCAAATTTACATCTCCAACCCAGACCTCTTTCCTGAATTTCAGACTTCCACAGATAGCCACTGATTCAGCATGTCCACACGAAGGTTTTGTAGGCACTCCAAATTCAGCAGGTTCAAAACTCCCATTGTTCTCGACCTGAGAGAACAGCAACTCCATCCATGCAGTTAGCCAAACTAGAAACTGGGAAGTTATTATTGACCCATCTATCTCTCTCTTACCATGGTATCCAATTGGCCATCCTCCTGACTCTACCTGCCAAATATATCTCTCAATTTTAACTTCTCTCCATCTCCACTGCCATGCAAGTTATCACCTGTCTACCACTATAACAGACTCATCACTTGTATCTGCTTGATGTCTCCAATACATTTCTACACTGCAGGCAGAGTGCTCTTTGAAAATTCATTCATCAAAAAGTATTTATTGAACCTTTACTATGTCAAGGCACTTGCTAGATAGTGATACAAATGTAACCAAGACATGTATGTTCCTAATCTCCTAGAACTCTATACAGTTCTGTGATTGGGAGACCTAACTTATGTGGGATGGAGAGAATTTCTCTGAGGAAATAATTTTTTTAATCTGGGATCTGAAGAATGAGTAGGAATCAACTAGGCAAAAAGGGAAGGCAATGGAGGGGAAAGAACATTTTAGGCAGAAGGAACATCATGTGCAAAGGTTTAGAATCAAGAGGAAGCAAGGTATGAGAAGCAAGATATGAGGCTAGGCACAGCCAGGGCCTGAGGAGTCATAACTCTAACTGGGAAATACTCAGGAGGTCTAGTAGCTCCTCAAACAGCCTGCCAAATTAGATTAGTGAGTGGAGGTGTGAGCATTTTTCTGAGGAGAGAGTGCATAGCTTTCATCAGGGTCTGTGACACTTTCCCTCCCCTGAAAATGTAAAGAACTATGTCTGGGGTATGAAAGACCATTTTTGGACTTTGTCCTAAAAACAATGGATGACATTGGAAAGTATGAAGCCAAAAAGTAACATGGCCAGATTGTAAAATTCATGGGGCAGGAATTTTTATCTCTTTTGTTCACTGATAGGTCCCAAACACCTAGAAGAGTGCCATGCACATAGCTGACACTCAATAAATAACTGCTGAATGAATTGCCGAATGTCTATTTTGGCATTACATTGTATTGCATTATACTGTAATTGTGTACTTAATGTCTCTCCTTTACAAGGCTCAATTCTGGGAAACCAACTATGTCTCCTTGATCTTTGTATTACTAGAGATATGTTTTTAGTGCCCAGCTCATGGCCTGGCTTAAAATCAGTTTCATTTGTGTGTTCATTCATTCAGCCAATAATTAAAGAGCATCTACCAGATGGCAGGAACTGAGAATACAAAGATGATGAAAATATTGGGGCTGGGCACAGTGGCTCATGCCTGTAATCCCAGCACTTTGGGAGGCCAACGCATGCGGATCACCTGAGGTCAGGAGTTTGAGACTAGCCTGGCCAATATGGTAAAACCCTGTCTCTACTAAAAATACAAAAATTAGCTGGGCGTGGTGGCGGGTACCTGTAATCCCAGCTACTTGGGAGGCTGAGGCATGAGAATTGCTTGAACCTGGGAGATGGAGGTTGCAGTGAGCCGAGGTTGCACCACTGTACTCTAGCCTGGGCGACAGAATGAGACTCCGTTTCAAAAAAAAAAAAAATGGCCCAAACCTCAAGGAGTTTACACTGTGGATGGGAAGACTAGTAAGTAGGCCTGATAATACTGCATAGTAAATCCTACAAAAGGGGTAAGAACAGAACACAGCTGTGGGGGTGTCAGGGAAGCCCAGCAGGCAGAAGAAACTATGGAACTGCCCCTGAACCAAATGAAGAAGAGAGGAGCAAAGCGTGGGAGTGGGCATTGAAGGTAAAGTCCAGAGTAGGGCAAGCAGGGCCCATTAGAACTGCAAGTGGTTAAGTGTGGGGGAAGATGGAGCTGCAGAAATAGGCCAAGGCCATAAAGCACCTAGACTTTATTCTGAGGTCCATGGGAAGTTATTAATGGATGACTGATGAAGCAGAAGAGCGATGTGTCAGATCTGCATATGAGACTACTTGTGCTCCAGAGTGGACAATGGATTGGAGAGGCAGTCATAGTGGCAGTAGGGACCAGTGATTGGGAGAGATGATGTTTGCCTGCACTAAAGAAGTAATGGGAATAGAGGACAATGGATGGATTTGAGAGCTATTAAGGAGGTAGGATCAAAAGGAATTAGTGATTAATTAGATGCTAGCATGAGAATGATGGAGTAGTCATGGATGATTCTCTGATTTTTAACTTGGACACCTTGGGTGAGTGAGAACGAAGATTGGGAACAGGCTTAGAGAAGCAGATGATGAATTCCAATTTGGGCAGACTGCACTTGAGTTTTCTTTGGAATACCCATGTGGAGACTTTTAGTCGGCAGTTGGATACACACATGGATCTGAAGTTCAGAAGGAAGATCTAGGCTGTAAACATAAATGTGGGGGTCTTTGCTTATGAATGGTAATTGATTCCTAGAAGTGGATGAGATCACTCAGGGAGGGTGTGGAGAATAAGGAGAAAGACAGCCAAAGACAGAACTTTAGGAGAACATTCAAGTAACAAGCATTTTTAAAGGGAGCGAATAAAGGAATAAGTGATTAAAAAGAGTCATTTAGAAGAAGGGATCCCTTCTAAAGCTTCCCAAATACTGCTACCAAATCAGCTGGCTATCCTATTTGTGCTTAAGGCAAAGCCTACTTTTTGGCTCCCCAAATGGAGAATGTGTTACTAAACCAAAGATGGAAAGTAGGGCAACATCATATACAGAAAGCATATCTTCAGGGCTTTTTTCAGATACATATGTGGATACTCTACTCCTGAGGCTCTATTGGTAAACAGATCATAGTAGCGTCTTGTTAGTCTGCATCAAGAAACACTTAATAATTAAAAAGAAACACTTTAAAAAGCTGTATGTTTAAAATATAATATGAAAAGTATTAGAAGTCATTTGATGATCATCTGATGTTCAGATCAACCAGATAATCTTTCTAGCCTGCCTGATGAGTGGCCTTTTGCTTGGCTTGTTGGCTTTGGCGTCAAGTGTACAAACTCAGCCAGTTGGAATACACCTGAAAAATGTTTCTCAAATGTTCCTTTGTGTGGATAAATTTGTTGGTTTATATAGTGTGTATATGTTATTTGTCTATGTTAAGAAGTGTCCCCTGGCTGATAACATACTTGTTTTTCAGCCCACAAATTTTCTATGAACCATTGAGAGTTCCCAGGCCTCACTATTACCTTGAGATATTGAAGATATTTTGACTTACTGCAATAAAATTACAGTTCTGCAACTTGTAATTAAACTTTGGATTTATTTGAACAATGAAAGAAAAAAGAGAACAAAACTATTAAACCATCAGGTCAACTGGTCAGTTGAGAATTCGTACACTCATCTTCTCTTCTTTCATGTGTACCCAGATTTGATAGAAGTGAGGATAGTTTGGTTTGAATGGAAAGCATGGCCAAGCAACAAGCTAACTTTTACCAGATACTTTTTTCCTACAGTCAAACCATAACAAATTCATCTCCTAGATAACAACTTGGTTTTTGTGCTTTGACTTTTTATGTTGCTATTTCCTTTCCTTTAGAGCAGCCCATTTCAAATTTTTACATGTAAGTAAACGAGTTATTTGAGGGGCTGCTCTATATCTTTTCTCAGAGTTTTGTATAGCTACTGTCTTAGTATAAGCCAAAGGGAATTTGTGGTTCCTGAGATCAGAAATTCAACTGCTTTCTAAAACTGAAGGATGAATTAGTACTTAAGTTAGCCATTTTGATACACAATCTTTGTTCCTAAATGACACTTAAATGTTTTATTTGCACTTCCACTATTTTGTTATAGTAACATATCAATAATAATAACATGCCTCTCCTACGAAGGACAAAAAGGATAATTTTAGAAACTCTACTATATATTCTCACAAGTCTTGCTTTAAATATATATATTATATATTATATTATAGAATATATTATATATAATATAATATAGAATATATATAATAATATATATAATATAATATAGAATATATATAATAATATATATAATATAATATATATATATATATATCTTATTCCATTTTCCTTCCAAAGAAAAAACATAGGACATGGAAAAACCTTTCCTCCCATCTAGTGGCTGGAAAATATATAAATGTCCTCTATCTGTTTTTTGGAATTCCAGGCATTAGGGATTGTTTGGCAGATTATAATATATCTAATTGTTCACCCAGTTAAGCAAAAATAAGTTCTAAAATCTTCACCAAAGCCAAACTCAATGGCAAAATATATATCTATAATGATTCACTAACCAACTTCCCTTTCATCAATAACATACTCCTCAGTAGAAAGGTTATGGTTCTTCTTAATTCATTATTCTGAACACACGATAGAAAACACAAGGCAGTATGTCTCTGCTACCTGAAATTGGGACTTAAATTACATTTGCCTCTAAAGCAGTCAGTGCCCCAGATCTCTCCTAAACCTTAATTGCTTCTTGTTGGCCCCACAACTTAACAACCTTCTCTCAAGAGTTGGATGTGTTGAATTCACTAGAGAGAGCCAAGAAACTGTCTCAGAAACTGGCTGCCTCCAAGGGACCTCAGCTCCTGAAACTTGGAATACCAGACTCTGATACTGGCAGCAGGGCCTCTGTGCAGGGCCAAACCAGCCCACAGGAAAGCAGGTTTGGATCCGTTATGCAGCTTGAGGGATTAATGCTTGGTCTACCTGTCTTATATATGTCTTGTGCAGATGTCAAAATCTCTGCTGAATTGTGCCTCTCTCTGGTGATTCTCACAGATTCAAAGAATGAATTTTGTGTGCAGTCAGCAAAGTTCTGAGTGCTCCAGGAAGAAGAGGAAGGTCAGTGAACCAGTGAAGGTCTTCATCCCTAACAGAAAATGAAAGCTAAATATTCCTTCTACATTTATTTTAAAATAAGTTTATTTTGTAAAAACATGCATAAACTGTCTTAGCAGGAAAGTACATTCCTGTTACCAAAACCTTTTTCTAAATTTTTTGCTCAATTTTTTTTGTCAGTTGCTAAGTGCTAAATTACTGGCCAGGTAGGACGCGAGTCCACTTTGCCATAAGGAAAGCGGGTCAATAGGGCTGCCTCTGGATAGCATTACTTCAAAGCTGGGTTAGAGATGAGGCACCTTTTATATTATATTTGTAAAAGAACCACAGCAGCTATTTTGGAAAGAAGCTGTTGTTCTCAAAGGAAAGAAGGATTTTTTTGCATAATTAAACTCTTCAGCTATTTAGACTACTGTGAAATGTTTTGACTTGTTGTAACCTGTATACTGGAATCCCTCTCTAGCTGTATTAAAAATTCCCACAGAGTTGCATAGGATGTGTGGAGGTGCTTATCCAGGTGTGATTTATGTGTTAACCTCAGTCACGAGGTTGATCAGCTAATTGTGGGACCAAAATGTGCCCTGCCTCAACTCTGGCCCCAGGCCCTGTTCTGTTATCCAATCCGAAACACGGAACATGCTGCAATTCAGGAGTCTGGCTCTCTTCTTAAGACCTATATTAAATATTTCCCAAGAAGCACTTCAGTTTATCAGTCTGTAACCTGCAAATGATGCTATTAGTTCCCTCCTTATTCTGGAAGAATTTGGATAGACTTAATTGATGATTAGTATGAGATGAACAATAGATGACTTAAAGTGTTATTTCTATTATTTATATAACATGAGATTTAGTAACTTATAAAATGAGGTTTAGTAATTTAATTTAAATGGATAGGACCAATAAGTTAAATATTAAGTGTGTGACTTATGGTTAAATAAAATGAAAATACAAGACTTTTTTTTTTGCTCATCTTTTTTCACACAGAAAGGAAAAGTTTCTTTGCTAACATCAGTATCTCTCCAAATGTAAAGTGTAGTGAGAACATCAATAATTGGAGTGCTTGTTAAAATATGGATTACTAGGCCTGCCTCATTTCTACTAAATCAAACTCTCAGGTTCAGGCACTGTGGAAAACTCTCCAGATTCTAACACACACACACACAAAATGGAGAACCAATGACCTCTGACCCAGACTAAAGTGAATCTCTGTAGGAAAATCCCAGGGAGCCTGCCTGTTCAGCACTGCCCCTTGCCAGACTCTCAGCCATTCTTGACTATCTAGGGCAGCCTACCAAACTGGGGTCTTAAATTGGGCTATAGCACTGGGGCCTGCAGGCAAGGAGGAGCATTTCCCCTTCTTTTAGCATATTAAGTGGACTCATGAAAGCCTGCTCTGCCACTGAAAGAAGGAGGGGAAAGGTATTGGACTTATATCCTTGATAGAATTGTAGACTGAGTCACTATAATTTCTTTGAAGAGAATCACATAAAGAGATTAGCTGTCTAGTAGAGGAATTAGGTTTGTGTCTCTCCAGAGAGAAGGTCTAAGAGCAAATCAGTAAAGGCTATAGGAGATCAATTTATAAGGAGGAGCTTTTTTTTTTTTTTTTTTTTTCAACATAATCTCAGCTCACTGCAACATTGACCTCCCAGGCTCAAGTGATCCTCCCACCTCAACCTCCGGACTGGCTGGGACTACAAGCATGTGCCACCATGCCTGGCTAATTTTTGTGTCTTTTGTAGAGATGGGGGTTCGCCATGTTGCCCAGGCTGGTCTCGAACTCCTGACTTCAAGTAATCCAGCCACCTCAGCCTCCCAAAGTGCTAGGATTACAGGCATGAGCCACCACACCCAGCCCAGGAGGAGCTTTTTAACTCTACAATTGTCAGTTGTCAAAATTTTGAGATGGGCTACCTTGTGAGTTAGTGAGCTTGTCTTCACTGCAGGTATTTGAACACAGAGGAGCTTCACAAAAACTCTATAAAGACTCTCAAAGCAAATTAGCACTACTGAGTAATTAGTTAATCTGGATTTCAAAAGGAACTATTTTGCTTCAAGGGGAATTGAGCTCATAATCTGTATTTGTGATAGTCATAAACTTAGCCTAAGGCTGACAGATCCTTTAAGTCAAAGTCTCAAATCTGAATCTATCTAGAAAATTTCTATAGTGATTTTATTATCTCTATTAACACCTCTTTCCCCATCTGAACAGTCTTTATCACTGCCAGTAGGTGGACTGTGTGTTTCTGAGGCAGTGTGTATGTGAGACAACAGAGAAGTTTCTGGGCCTGTGCCCTTGGCTGGGCACACACGGAAGGAGATCTGTTACCAAGGGAATCTGAGAACTGTGAAAATGTGAACTATCTGATTTTACACAGCAGAGCTCAAATATGCAACCAGCTATCAATATTGGAGTGTATTCAGTTCTATCTACTGAATGATTTATTAGAAGGAAAGAAATCTTTTCTCTATTCATTTTGGTTCTTAATTGTAATGGGATGAATAAACACAAGTGCATCAAGGAGCTGACACTTTAGTGAAAAGAATGAAAACAGGCCCCATGCTGGGATGCCTGAGCTGTTCTAGACCAGCCATTCCCTCACTCTGACTGTGCTTGGTTCATCAGTGTGATCACAAAGATTAGATGATGATAGTTGGAAACTGAGACATTATTAAATAAAAAGTTATGTAGGGGAAATTTGAATTTGGCTGTTTGGGGTTTTTCTGTCTTTACAGAAATTTGGTCTAGCTGGAAAGACATGGGTTAGGTTCATGATTGCCGCCAGCCTTTGAAGCCAGGCACCGAAACCACACCTTCATTTCCCCTCTTGCAGGTCCCTCTGCTGTCTGGGTCCTTTCATTCTCCAGCTCACCTCTTCCAGGAAGAGGCTGGAAATGTTCATCAGTATCAAAGTTGCATTCACATGAGTTCAGAGTTGTGTGTGTGTTCTTAAAATTCCACTAACCATTAGAGCCAACTTTAATGTATCTTAAAATTGTCAATTTATGGTTTCAAACCCAACAGTATTGGATATTTAGGGACTTCCACAAAATATTATAATAAAATAATTCTCAGTTATAATCATCATCATTTAGAAAGAGGTCCCAAATAATAAAATGAAACTGAACACACTATGCATGTAAGAGTTAAGTCAAGGTCTGCTACAATGTAGGATTCTAGATTCTGTACAAGCGAGAAAATGCCTAAATGTATCCCCTTTAGACATTTTTAGTTTGTTTAAAGGAAAAAAAGGTAATATTTTCAGTGTGACTGTGTGATTTGTGTACTGAGGTCATGGCTGAGACTTGATACATAATTTCCAGTTTTGATAGAGAAGGAGGACACCCTTGTCTTAGTTAAAAAGAAAAAAGCTTTTATTAATGGGCCCTTGGGTTATCCATTGGTAAAGTCAAATTCCTATTTAGAAATGGCAAGACTTGAGGTCCTAAGGAGCTAATCTGCTCATATAATATCCCCTTGGGTGCACAATATCTCTGCAATTAGAGTTTTGCCGTCTGGGAGGAGCAAACTCAGTCTTACAGTAGGTGGTGGCTCACAGGTACCACTGGCTATGTGTAAACTATTCCTTTGCAACCTGGCTGGAAGTTGCACATGAGATTTGCTCAATAGAGGATGTTGAGAAAGGGATTGGCCAGCGTTTCTGGTAATAGGCTGATTTACTCAGCTTCAGGGCTTTTTCCTGTGTTATAATTCCATCATGTTATCCCAGATCCTTTAGTAGTAAAGTAGTAAAGTCTCATTAAACTTTTATTTTATTTTATTTTGAGATGGTCTCACTCTGTCACCCAGGCTGGAGTATAGTGGTGCAATCATGGCTCACTACAGCCTTGACCTCCCAGGTTCAAGTGATCCTCCCACCTCAGCCTCCCAAGTAGCTAGAACTACAGGTACATGCCACCATGCCCAGATAATTTTTGTATTTTTTAGTAGAGATGAGGTTTTGCCATGTTGCCCAGGCTGGTCTCAAACTCCTGGGCTCAAACAATTTGCCCGCCTCAGCCTCCCAGAGTGCTGGGATTACAGATGTGAGCCAGCATGCCCAGGCTCATTAAACATTTTAGTCTGGACTTACCTGTGCCATGAGGTTCAGCAGTGCATGGGTTTTTCCATGGCAGGAGTGGAGAGGCAGGCTGCTTGAGATAGCCAGAAACATCTATGGGGCACTAGTGGAGCATTCCTTGGGGTCTCAGACACTTAGAAACCTGGTATAAGAGTGGATTTTAAGGGGTTGTTGTTTGGGTATTTCAGGACTCCTGAAGGCTGGTGAAGTCTGGAGCATCTAGGTTCCATATGGGTAATTACTAATTGGCTCTAGGGTAAGCAAGCAAAGTTAGTTTTTCATCTTCCTTTTAGCAAGGTAGTGAAGAAAAAGCCTAGGCTGCTAGATTCAAAACCTCTCATTTTCTAGATAAGATATTTCATCTCTCTAGCCCCCAGTTTATTCGATCTATAAAATCTGAATAATAATTACACCTATTTCATACTTTTGTGAGATTTAAGCAAGCGGATTCAAGTAAACTGCCCTGCACACATATAGTCACTACTCATCGTGATGGCTGCTTTTTAACTCTTAGCGTGTCCACTTTGTCTCCAGGAACTTAGGATTCCTTCTTTCTTCCCCTTCCCTTCCCTTCCTTTCCCTTCCCTTCCCTTTTTCTCTTCCCTTCTTCCCTTCCTTTCCCCCCTTCCCTTCTTCCCTTCTCTTCCCTTCTTCCCTTCCCTTCTTCCCTTCCCTTTCCCTTTCCCTTCCTTCCCTTTCCCTTTCCCTTTCCCTTCCCTCTCCTCTCCTCTCCTCTCCTCTCCTCTCCTCTCCTCTCCTCTCCTCTCCTCTCCTCTCCTCCCCTCTCCTCCCCTAACCTACCCTACCCTACCCTACCCTCCCTCCCTCTCTTCTCTTCTCTTTTTGACAAGGTTTCATTCTATCACCCAGGCTGGAGTGCAGTGGAGCCTCAACTTCCCAGGCTCAAGCAATTCTCCCACCTCAGCCTCCTCCTAAGTAGCTGGGACTACACACATGTGCTACTATGCTTGGCTAATTTTTGTGTTTTTTGTAGAGACGGGGTTTTGCCACGTTGCCCAGGCTGGTCTTGAACTCCTGGGCTCAAGCTATCTGCCCACCAAAAGTGCTGGGATTACAGGTGTGAGCCACTGCACCTGGCCTCAGGAGTTTGGATTTCTATGCTGCTTTTTGCCTACCCAGAGCTCCTACATCAACAGCCTGTGCAAGCCTGGGGCCAGCACTTGAACCATGCTTCCAATTGCCTCTGTTCTCAGAACCCTCCCCACTCCTTTCCCTAAATCGAAACTCCCTTTCCATCAAGATAGTTCAATGGGAGAGAAGCATCAGACGAAGCTTAATATGCTGCCCTCCCACATTTGCATTTTAAAACAGAAGCTTGTTAATTAGAAAAATGAATCTCACCTAGGGATTGTGATATGAGAACAGACTGAATAAACAAGGAAGAAGAAAGTTTAAAGGGAACTTTGTAGCTGTCTTTAAATTTATGAAAGTCTGTCATAAAATGCAGGTAACCACAGACACATTCTGTGTTGTTCCAAAGCGTAGAACATAGACCCAATGGGAGGACATCCCAGGGATGCGGATTTGGCCTCAACCTATTAAAGAATTTTCCCCCAATGCTCTAGCAAATTGCCTGGCACATGGAAGGCAATCAACATTTGACTGTTTTTGATAGCAATGAAAACTGTCAGATGGTGACTGCTTCTGGCTGTAATGAGTTCCTTATCACCGGAAGTGTTCAAGACTAGTTGTGCAAGATGTCCATTCGGATAAGAATTGAACCAACTGAATACTGTAGTCTCTTCTAGCTATAAAACTCAGTGACACTTCTATAAATAGTTGAATTTCAATGGAGATTTTAGAGCAAAGGAACATTTTATCAATCCTTTTTCCAAAAGGCAGCAAAGTGGTTAAAACTGAGGGTTCTGGAGTTAGACGTTATCTGGGTTCAAACCCTGGTCACCCTACTTACTAGCTGTATGACTCTGTTCGACAATTTTAATGTTTTACTTGCTATCTCTGTACATCAGCTTCCTTATCTGTGAAATGGGGGCAATAGTAGTGTCTTTCTCACAGAGCTATTGTGAGAGCTCAATGAGTTAATACAGGAAAAGCACTTAGAAGAATAGCTGGCACATAGAAAGTTAATGTTCAATAAACATTAGTTATGAGGTATCATCTGATACCCTTGCCACTTCTACAGCTTTTTACGTCTTTTCAGTATGTGGAGGGAGGTCCTTTGTAGCATAATTGACCCTGACCTTGTTTTTTCCTAAATCAGATGCCAGCCATGGCCACTGTGATTAACCAGTGGACTTTCTATCTCCTAAAAGCAAGCTTTAAAGCTAAACAAGCGACAGGGCTGGTGACGTGCAGTTTATGAAGGATCTGCCAATGAAACACAATCATGGCTGTGGACACCCTAACCCTGCTATGTGCCTGACAAGTGATAGATAACCAGTAAATATTTGTTGAATGAGCTGGGTGCAGTGGTGTGTGTCTGTTGTCCCAGCTACTCAGGAGGCTGAGGCGGGAGGATTGCTTGAGCCCAAGAGTTTGAGACCAGCCTGGGTAACACAGCAAGATTCCATCTTTAAAAAATAAACAAATAAACAAAAATAAAATATGTGTTGAATGAATAGATTAACTCGGTAGGGTTTTATTATTTTTATTTATTTATTTTTGATCAGGTAATACATTCACATGATTTAAAATTCAAAAGGAACAAAAGGATATATAAAGAAAAACCTCCCTCCCACCCAGTCCCTCAGCCATCCAGTTTCCTTCCCCATAGGGAACTAACATAAACGCTTTCTCATATGTCTTTCCAGAGCTATTTTAGGCATAAACAAGCAAACATACTTGCTTACGCACATTTATTTCTTTCCCTCCCTTTTAAACAAATGGCTCATATACTGTTCTAGGCATGATTATTGAAGTAGCCCCAGAAATGGGAGTGAGCATGGGTACGCCAAGGAGGAATTAAAAAAGAAAGAGCTCAGGGACAGAAAAATCAACCAGGAGACTATTGCATTAATACAGATGTAAGGCGATTAGAGCCTGGACTAGTATATTAAATGGGATAATCAGGGAAACAATTGTTTGAATGTTTTTTAACTTACACTGGGGTAACCACTATATAGAGTATTTCTGTCACCCCAGAAGTTCCCTTGTGTCCCTTTGCCGCCAGCCCACCCTCCCCAGGCCCAGGCACCAACTCCTCTGCTTTGTCAGAGTTTTTCAGCTTTCGTGTTACAGGCCTGCATGCCCGTGGTGGGACCTCCACTCAGCAGAGTTAATCACAATACCAGTCAACATCAGTGGCACTTACTCCAGGCCAGACACTCCATTAAGCACCTACATGTGCTCATTCATTTAATCCTCTTCACCAACTGAAGCAGGTACTGCTTTTATCTCAATTTCTGATAAGATATCTAAGATACAGAGAAGTTAAATCACTTGATGAAGGTCACACAGTTAGTACATAGCAAAGTCAGAATTTTGAACTCAGAACAATCGGCTTCCAGTGATCATATGTAAAAATAATATAAGAAAATATTCAGACCCACACAGAAAGAGTTCATTGCTATTCATCGAGATTCAGAGGGAAGACCAATCCTTAGTAGGTTGATATAGAAGGAAGTTGTCCAGAAGCCTTCAAGTGTACTTTTAACTTGTCAGTTAAAAGAAAGCCAGTAGCCTTACTTCATAGGCATTAGCCAGTGGGCAGATTTTCACTTCATTCCCCTGCCTTCAATGTGCACAACCCCATGATGTTTTCTTCTAAGAAATTATAACATTTAGAACTATCTCTGTATGTTAAAGAATTGGTGTGGTCAGGGCATTACTGAGAATGACAAGTATCTCTCCCTATCTGTGGGTCCCAGAATATGCATGTCATTCTGAAACCACAAGGAATGCGGTTAAATCCTCTGGTCGCATCTCTCAACAAAGATTTAGCTGTTTCACTGTTGCCTCCAAAGAGCTTTTTTCCTGGACTAAGATGTTAATTCACAGTGATGTCTACTAATGGGTCTTCCATAAAGAGGAGTCTATTAAAGGAATTAATTACATTACATGTTCAGAAACTTCCCAGCATAATGAAATGACTCTCTAGCTGAAATAGTATGAGAAGGAAACCATTGAACTAAATCATAATGGAGACAAGTTTCCATAAAGTGAAATGCAAGTTTGCTAATATAACTGTAGACTATGAGAGACAGAACAGTGAAAATGCTAATAATGAAACTTTTCACTCACTGATGGAGTTTTATTAAATATAGATCATCTTTTTCCAAACATTTCAAGTTACTTATCATCTTCTATTTGAGGCCTAAGTTTGCCACTTATTAACATTGTCAATTAACCTTAAAATGCTATTTTAATGTTTTGGTTTTTTTTTAAACAAGAAAATAGTTGTCCTCAGTCAACATAGAATAAAAGAAAATAGACTCAGGTTGCATTCGATGGCATTCAAATTCCAGAGGAGGTGGTAGAACGATCTATTCTGGAAATCTAGGTTGGTTTTGACACCGTGCTGCCTAAAGCCTGGGGAGTAGATTAGATGACTTTCTGCTCTCTTATTCCACAGTATGGTCCATTTTCACACTGCAAATCTACAGAAATGATAATAGCAGAAGAAAAAGATAACAGCAGGTTAAGTGTGGTGCTAGGGATTGTGCTGGCAACTGGCAAACCACCAATTCATTGGTTTCTAGGTAGATATGGGACAGTGGTGCAAGGCAGGGTAACATGGAATATTCATTACAGTCAAAGTCTGGATTGTAATCTTAATCTTGGTTCTCCCTTTATTTCTGGACAAGTCTCTTAGTTCTCTATTCCACTGTTTCTTTAGTTGCAAAATGTGGATAGTGAACCTGTCTTTCCACCTAGGGTTTTTAACAACCAGGAGATAGAAGCAGTGGGTTATGACAGTCTACTCTAAATCTGGCACAGTACCTGTGATCCCTCTGCCTGGGCTCTGGGATAGTTTGGAGGAGGAATGGAGGGTTCCCTTGAGGGACCAGCCCATTCATCATCAGTGGTTCTAGAGAGATCCTGATCCCAGGAACCAGGAGAGCCTGGACCAGTTCTCTGGCCCCTCCTCCAGGCATTTGGGTTACTGTCGAGCAAAAGCGAGCTTCGTCGGAACCTAGTTTATGCTTAACTGAAACTTGGGCATTAGTCAGAAACAACTCAGCCTTCAAAATGAGGCCCACAGGGAAGCTGTTTTTATTAATGAAACTCATTTATGATTATAGTATATAAAGCAATCATTTGCATGCTATGAACTGTTTAAGAGATTATGGTGATGATACAATGTGTAGAGAGGTAGAAAAGTTACAGAGTTTACAAGACGATAAACCACCTTTCAATAACTTACTATTGTTTAGATTTCAAGTGCTTCTTAAAATGGATAAGCTAAATAAACTCTAACATAGTTCTAGCTAAAAGTCATTAGTCTAACAGTTCTGGTGGAAACTGTTAAACCAATTCTGCAACCAAAAAGATAAACAGCTAAAAACTGCCAGGTATCAGTATTATTGTAATATTCCCTTTATCAAAAACCTATAACTGAAATTTATAGGTAAGAGTTTACAGTAAGCAGCAGGTACCTGGAAACTTGTCAGTTAAGGTTTCCCTTTATAGAAGAACCTCTGCTGTAAGCTTTTCAGCCCTCTAAAGCCAGTAAAATTAAAAAAAAAAAAATAAAAAGAGCTTTCACTATTAGTTTCTAAGGAAATTATATAAAGGTCATAATACTAAGAGAAAAGCTTTAAATTGTCATTTCCAATAGGACATAAGCCTCCTAAGAAAAAAACAACCTTGTGTGTTTTTCTTGGGGGGGGAGGCATATATAAATAACAATCAAAAATCTTTTTCTTTCTTGATTTAATTTTAAAGGTGATAGTTAACTAAATCACTTTAAAATGACTTCCTGCTGCTCCCCCAACCTCCTCAAAATTAAGAATACAACAAATATTTGCATAGGTTTATTATTCACATTTAATCATGAATAATTCACTTTGTACAGACAGCTGGGTAAACAAGAGATTTGGAGTTTCCTTTTTCTAGAATATTTTTCCATTGGCTGAAAGGAAACAGCATCAGTGGTGATTTTATATGATTTTCAGTGCCATCTTGTTTTCTCTCCTCTGGATAGGAGACCCCTCCTCCCTCCCTCCTTCTGTCCTTTTTTTTTTTTTTTTCTGTTTACTTATTTCTGCCAGCTTTTGGGCTACACCTCATCAACATAACATTTTTCATTACAAAATGAAAAAATAGCTCAATCATTCAGTTTTTTATTCTGCAAGACAACATAAAGTGTTTGTTTCTCACTTTCCACAATATTAGAGTTTTTTTAAACTGTGGGTTTGCTTTTGTGTGAAGACCCTCTTACTGATGGGAAAATATCTTTCAGAACTAATTCTGCCTCATCATTACCTCCTCCATCTTTTCCTATCAGCCATTAACAATTTCACAATTATTTGACTGTCTGCCACAAAGTTGGTTCTCATTTCCCTCTGCACCTCCCAGGCCTACGTGAGGAAGTGGAGCACGTATCACTGAACATAGGTTTACCCAAGGCTATCAACTCTTGGGCAAGGGGGGCATAATTTACCAAAGGTCAAGGATCCTTTCAGTTCTGTGAACGTCATTAATCAAATTGCGATAGTATAACCTGTGGTTTAGGAGACAATAAGGCTTGCCATAATTCATCTACGACCAAAGAAGGGGTTGGGGGTGGGGGGGTCATCGTATATCTTTGGGAAATCCCTGCATTTTGTCATGGCCTCTGGGAAGTAAGAATTTTCGACACCCACCAAATGTCAAGCATCCACTCTAACTACGTTAGTTGAGGACAAACATTGGCTTTGGGATGTATGTGCCCTCTATTCAGCAACACATATAATAAAATGTGAATGTCGTAGAATGGCAAGTAGCATTCTAGAGAAAATTAACCATACTTTGACTAAATGAAAAATTAATGCTTTCTTCATTTAACACTTAGGGTTTACTGTATGCTAGATGTGTTCTAACCATGTCATACATATTAACTCTTTAATTCCCATAACAACCCTTTGAGATAGGTACAATCCTTATCCCCATTTTACAGATATGGAAACTGAGGCACAGAGAAATTAAGTAATTTGCTTAATGTCACCACAGGAAGTGGTAAAGGTAGGATTTGAACCAGGCAGTCTGACTCCAAAGTCTGTGCTTTTAACCACCATGCTTTGCTATGAGTATAATATCTGCTTATGGCAAAATAAGAAAAGCACAAAGAAGAAAAAAATTACCCATAGTCCCACTCCTTACTTTAGTATATTTCCTTTGTGTGTGTGTGTGTGTGTGTGTGTGTGTGTGTATTTTTTTCCGTTTTTTTCAATTAACTATGCTTTGTGAATATTCTCTCATAGAAGATACTGATTTGATTGAACATTCAGATCATTTTCTTAGTCTACTGTGTTAAGTACTGGCCCAGCTAAGTTTGGAAGCACTTATGATTGGTGGAATGGAGTGGGGTAGAGGACTGCTGATTTAGCAGATGCATTTTTTCCCCAAGCCAAAGAGCTGCCCTGAAAATGGGCCAAATATAATTTCTTTTAAGCAACCTGAAAAAAGTGTTTCAGCCTAGAGACATACTGTGACTTTTTCCTTCAAAGCATTTCATTTACGTTCACTTTATAAAGTTCAGTTTTCTTAGGGGCAAGGTAGCAGGGGCAGTGGGGGTGGTGTGGGGGAGCCGCTGTGAGTCTTAATGCAAAGAGGAATGTAGGCTAGTCAACAGGAAACCCAAAGTGCTTGATACAGCACAGTGACCTCTAATTGTACCTTGGCATGGCTGCTTTCTCTTTCTTTGATAGGTGTTGCAAAAATATAATAAATATAATAATATATCTTTTTTAAAAAAAACATTTTTCTGGTAAACAAAACTGTTGTTATATGCCAAGACAATAAGCATCTCTGAAGCCAAGACAGTAGTGGTCATTGCTATGGCCAGCTACAGCTTTTGGCCAAGTCACATGCCATCCTGTCAACAGCCAAAGAGGTAAACAGCATAGATATGTGCTGACCTAACCTCAAAAACTCTTGGGAGCACAAGGAAATTGGCTTGAAAAGACTCTCTCTTTTTCCTCCTTGTTAATTGAATTTCTGTCTCTAATTAAAGAGACAAAAACAGAAAACAGTATTCAAAAGGGAAAGTCAAAGAATAATCCCCATCTCTGGAGAAAAAAAAAAATCATTGAATCATCAGAAATATGGCTGCATTGATTCTCACTCTTTCCCTGAGCTGTTTACCCATTTTCAGGTGAGGAAGTGAAGAGGAGGGCCAAGGGCCAACTTTTTCAAAGGGCCCTCTCTGGGAATTACTTTTGTATGTACATAAATTTCCACAATAAGTATCTTCTGAAGTTTTCATGCAACTGAGTTGTTCTTTCAAACTTCTTATCCAATGTTCTAACTTGAATTGTGCTACCAGAAAATCAGGTGTATCTTAATTGCTAAGTCAAAGTTGGCTTCTTTTGGAAACCAAAACTCACTAACTTGAGCCCCTAAACTCACCCCACCTCCTTATTTTTTCCTTTAAAATACCTTTTTCCCCACTTCCTACAGTCACTAGTCTTAGGTCCCCTTGTAACCATTGCAGGCAGCTGCTGTTCGAAATTTTAAAAATGAAATTTGGGCCGGGTGCGGTGGCTCATGCCTGTAATCCCAGCACTTTGGGAGGCCAAAGAGGGCAGATTGCTTGAGCCTAGAAGTTCAAGACCAGCCTGGGCAACATGGTGAAACCCTATCTCTACAAAAAGTACAAAAATTAGCCTGTAGTCACAGCTACTCAGGAGGCTGATGTGGGAGGATCACTTGAGTCCAGGAGGTCAAGGCTTCAGTGAGCTGTGATCATGCCTGAGTGACACAGCAAGAGCCTGCCTCAAAAAAAAAAAAAAAGTTTTTTTCATTAACCCGAAAACTAAGGTCAAATCTCTTTCTGTTTCCAGTGTTTTGAAAACTAGTTCTAATTCTTTCTGTCTGAGTCTTCGCTTCTAGTCTTGGGGGAATGACAAGGCATTGGGACAGGAAACTAATAAGCCCTTCCAACCAACAGCCTATTAGCTGTTGAAGGTTACCACTTCATCCAGATTCCAAAGAGACTCCTTCAAGGAAGGATCTGGGGACCAGTGAGTACCTAGGAGCAGACTAGCAATCTTTCTCCAGAGAAGGCTTTAGTAGGTAGTAACTACAACTCACCCTAATATGTTATATTAGAGCTCACCACTTACAGAGGACTTACAAAGGGTTTCTGATGCGTATAATTGCATTGAAGTTTCACCATTATCTCCTGGGGGTGGGGGATGGGTGGGTAGTGACTATTGTACATAGCCTGTGTTGGCTGCCCCATATCTCACAGTTTATGGAGGACCTGATCTGAGTGCACCTGTACCACGTACATGGCACGTGTACCATGGCCTTGCTCCCTCCTTGCCCTGAGTCTTCCTCCTTCATTCCTTGCCCAGCTCAGCTATAGTGTCTTATATTTCAGTCAAAAGCTGTCTTTCTCCAAGACATACTGATCAGTTAGCTTAAGCTGTGAACGTTTGGTTTTGGTGTCCCCCTACCCAAAGAGGAGTCTTCAGGGCTCCTCTCCTGACACCCTGCTGCCTGCTGTTCCTGTGCTCTCACACCATGCCTCCCATCTCCCAGGACTCCCTGAGGCCACACCCCACCCAGGCCTGCTGTCTTGGAAAACCACTCATGACTTGAGCTTGAACCTTTTCTCCCACAATTAAACTCACTTGCCCTACGTCTCCTCTCTCTAAGTCCTACTAGGGGTCCAATTTGTGCTAAGAGACTACTAGCTGGCAATGGTATACTATTCTAATACCCCAGTCCTCTCAGGACCACTTATTAGCCATGTGGGCTTGGGTGAGCAATTCAGCACCCCCTGAGATTCACCTGTGAAATGGGGATAATCATTCTTTACAAGTGAGGACCAAGTGAAATAATTTGGAATGCTATATACATATCACCTGAATTCCTTCTCGCCCCTCAACCCTCTCTTTCTCTACTAAAGTAATTTCAGGGCAACATCTTCTCCTGCCTGGATTACTGCAGCAGCCTCCAGACCACAAAATTTTCTCTGCAGTTCAAGTACATTTCATTTACCATCTTGCAGATGGTAAGACATGTTTACAAGTCAGCTGGCTTCTGAATGTGTCTTCTGGGCATTGAATTCCCCCGACTACTTTCATCTTATAGCTTCAGCCACTATCCCTAGCACGGTTATCTCTTGCAGTTACTGGTGTAACTTTCGATGGCACTATGAAGTCCCCATTGGCACCTGTTTATGCCTCTCGGCCAAACCCCTGCTAAGGGGGTGACAGGGGCAGCATGCTCCAGTAAGGTTGAAGCACTCTTCTCATGGAGGCTCACCCAAGAGGGAAAGAAAAGCAGAAGGAAATGAGGGAAGGAAAGGTGGAGGCTAGAAAGACACTTTGGAAACTGTGAAAGTGGCCCTGAGCTCACATGAAATGCAAGCCAGCAAAAGTGTTGAGATTGGAAACTTTAATGTGGCCCTTTTGAGAGAACAGCTGTAGCACTGCAATTTCCTAGAAATCTGGATGGACACATTTAAAGAGAGTGAAGCACTGAATGGAAATAACTAGAAAAGAGGCTTCCTCCTGAGCTCTGAATGTCCTATCGTGGAGGAGTTACAAGAAAGAGCAAAGCTAATAGCCAACTGAAAACCCACATGTTGTACATTTAAGGTGATAGCTGGGAACCCAGATTCTATTTTTAGTCAAAAAAGTGGGGGGAACATGCATGAATTGCTATGAGCAAGAAAGGCCAGCAAGGAAAGAGAGAGAAACAAGGGAGGAGAGGCCAGTGCCAGCTTTCAGGACTGACATTATGGTGATTTTTCTTTCCCTGCTCTGAGAAGTTGATCTGGTGGTCCTAAGTTCCTGGCATTGGGCAATTTTCCAAAAGTTTGGAGAAGTTACTCATGAAGAAGAAGCCAACTCCAGACAGCTCGTCGGGAAATGTGGAGAGTCAGTGCCTGGGTGGTTTTCATACTAATCCAGGATTTATTAAAGCTCAGAAAGCAAGCAGCAGAGAAGGTTTTTATAATGAGACATTTTGCAAATAGAGTCATCAGCATTTTTTGATAGGAAAGAAAGTTTCTCTCTGAAACTTTCTGAAGGAGGTGGCTGGCTTGGGAGGATGGGAAGAGGAGGGGGGCTCCTTCTATGAGTGCTGTGGCAGGTGGGGGACTCCAGCAGTGGGAGACTCATTCCTTTCTCAGTCCCCTCCCCTTCAGGGTACAAAGTTTTTATTTGCAGTTGGGAGGAATTAGAGTCAATGATCTAATAGAGCTAACTTTTTCCTCTCAATATGGTATGATGTGGCATTGGTAGCTCTGCCAGATACTGATGCTACCAAGGGAACTTCAGTGCAGGTGGACTTCACGTTATTACATTGACTTATTCTTCCAAAGTTACATAGAAACTAAATTGTTTTAAATCTACACAAGTAGTTAAAGAAGCCCTACTGGAAATCTTTTGTAAATCTAAATATGCATCTGAAAGGCGAGTAAACACTTCCAAAAATATTTTGCTTGTAGCTCTGAATTTTGATTTGTCTCCTTTGCTGCCGGAACATTCAAGATGTATAAATGTTGTGGTGTAGATTAATCATCTGTCCATACCCACCTTGATTTTCCAGAATTTTATATTAAGCAGATTGGTTTCCCATCATGTAAAAAAAAAATCCAATAATTCTGCAGCTTCTTTGGGACTTTATAATTTTTTACTTAAAGCAACAACCAAAAAATTTTGTTATTTCCAAACACACTAGAAGACCACATCATCTAGCCCTTGAGCACAGAATTGGCCAAAGTTTGAATGAGGGGCTAGGCCCTGAGCATAAGTTGATGCTGATTGTCAGTGGTCAACTCAATGTACATACCTTCTTGGGAATGGGTTCTGTGCAAGGCACTGGCTGGGTCCGATGAAAGGAAGTCCTGAACTGTTCAGGCAGCCCATCTGATGCAGCAGCAATAAGCCCTGAAGAGGAATAGGGTTAACAAATACCAACAGTTTAACGTATACCTCAGAGCAGAGAGAGAGGTCTAGCATGGTGAGGGAAAGTTTCAAGGAGGGAGTGAATTTTGAGCTGGATCTTGAGGGGAGGTCAGGGTTTGTATACATAGAGTCAGACAGGAAGAGCATCTCCTACTAAGAGGAACAGAGGAGTGACTGCTCAGAGGTGTGAGGATTGAAGGGGGTTTGGTGATAGAAAATGGACCAGTGTGGCAGGATTTCCAGAAAGGAAATCCTGGAAAAGTTTCAGAACAAATTTTGAATTAAGGGTTTGCAAACACTTATGCGAAAACAATAATTGCTAAGAGTCAAGCATGGGTGCACTAAGAACTAGTCACTTCCTGTTTTTTATAAGGTTACTAGACTGGTAAACTACAGGATGTTGTCCAAGGGATTCTTGTGATTGGCTGGAATTTGGTCTTTTTCTAATGTAAAGTTTTATTGTTCTGTGTAAGAGTAGAACTCAACTGTGTTGAGTTCCATTATGCCACTCCTTGCAGCAAGGTATCTGACATAGGCTCTGTGATATTCTTGGTAGGGCTGTGGTCTGTGTAAGTCAACATTCATCCCCAGAGGTGATGGATCAATGGCAGGATAGAGGATGGTTTCCGTACTATAACAGGGCTTGATGTTTGGCCCATTTCATTTTTCCATCTTCATTATTGTTTGCCAATGACATAAGGAAACATACAGGCACACAGGATACCTTATCAGAGTTCCAGATAATATGAAACTGGAAGAGATAAATAAATGTATTCATTGATATATCAAAAAAGATCTTTTGGGGCTAAAATGATAGACCGAAAAAAGCAGCTGAAATACAATAGTTATAAATGCAAAATACTGTATCTAGGGTCAAAAAATCAACTTCTCAAAAAGCAGATGGAGAAATATGTCTTAACCACAGTTGATGTGAAAAGAGACCGAGGCCTTTTAGTTTACCACAATATGACCTAACAGTGTAATGCACTTGGCAAAAGAAGGCTATATTTAGTAAACATATCATGTCACTATGTTCTTTAATTCAACAAGTCCTTATTTTGTCCCCCAATATGTGTCAGGTATGAGGTTGGGCAGTGAATACACACTGGGGACCAAGACAGAAAGAGTCCCTCCCACAAACAGCCTGCAGTTTAGTAGAGGACAGAAACAAACACCAGAAAAAGTAAACATATAAAATCATTAAACCTTGTGAAAGGGGTCTGGAGGGGCACAAATAAAAGTGGGGAAGGGTCAGAAGGGACCTGCATTTCATGAAGTGGTCAGGGCAGGCCTCTCTGAGGAAGTGGTGTTTGAGCTGAGGCCATATGAAGAGGAAGGACAGTCAGAGAGACAAAACACTCCAAGCAGGACAGTGAGTGCATAGGCCCTGAGTCTGAAAGGAACTTGATGTGTTTTTGGAACTGAAAGACCAATGAGGCTGGTCCCCACTGTGGCTGCCAATGTCCATTCTCCTGTCCTTCCATAGCGATAGGGCTTCTGACACAGGGCTACCTGGCTGTAGTATATTTCCCAGCTTCCCTTGCAGTTGAACATGGCCATGGGACTGAGTTTTCATGAGTGGAATGCTAACAAAAGATCTTCTGTGACAGCTGGGGCCCTTAAGAGGTGGGTGAACCCCCCCTACCCTTCACACTTTCCTTTTCTTGCTGGATGCATCTGAGGCTTGGTAGTAACCCAGCTTATACCAGAACACCACATGGAATAGCAGATCCCCAGTCAGAAGGGGCCTTGGTCACTGAATGACTGCAGAGAATACAGCCCCTTGCCTGCTTGGATCACTCATCTCACTCATCATCACTCAACTCTCAAGATGGTTACTTGAGAGAAAAAAGATTCTATATTCTTTAAGCCACTGAAGTATTGTCATGTCTCTTACCTAACCTAACTATTACAGAAACAAAGGAGATACTAGCGCCACCAACCAGTCCACATTTAGAGCGTTGCATTTAGTCCAAAGGTTCACGTTTTTAAAAGAGACATTGACCATCTGAAGCATGTCTAGGGAAAGGTAACAATAACAACATTTAGGAGTCTGAAAACCAAGTCAATGAAAAATCTGTTAAAGACATTACAGTTGTTTAGTCTGGAAAAGAGATTTCTCCAGGGTGACATGATAACTGTCTTCAAAAATTGAAGAAGAGGAATGAAACTGAATTGGGGTAGCTCAGTGGGACCTATGGCTGGTTGGGATTTGTGATGAAGCAGATTCTCATTCAATATAGGGAAGAAGTATCTAACAATGAGGGGTGATTAGAAAAAGGCCAGATTACTTTGAGTATCAGAGGCTTCTCCCTATCACTGCACCCAGAGAATGGCCACCCACTTATGAGATGTTGCAGGGGTGATCCAATATCATTGTGGCAATGCTAGTGAATTCTAGGATTTCATGTAGAAGAGGTGATATATAATGCAGGTGAAGCCAGGTCACAACGGGGAACTGACTGTCAGTTTGGAGTGTATCCTGGAGGCAAGTAGTATCTTGAAGGTTTCTGAGCAGAGTAGCAACATGATCAAAGCAATCTGCTAGGAACATTGCTTTGGCCAACACAGGGTGGTAAAAGTCCTGATTTTTATAGCCCGTGTTGGTCATTGGGTGCTTATATTCCCTGAACCAGTAGCAATTTAAAGAAAACCAAGAGTGGGCCGGGCACAGTGGCTCACGCCTGTAATCCCAGCACTTTGGGAGGCCGAGGCGGGTGGATTATGAGGTCAGGAGATCGAGACCATCCTGGCTAACACAGCGAAACCCCATCACTACTAAAAATACAAAAAAATTAGCCGGGCATGGTGGCACGTGCCTGTAGTCCCAGCTACTCAGGAGGCTGAGGCAAGAGAATTGCTTGAACCCGGAAGGCAAAGGTTGCAGTGAGCTGAGATTGCGCCATTGCACTCCAGCCTGGGTGACAGAGCGAGACTCCGTCTCAAAAAAAAAAAAAAAAAAGGAAAACCAAGAGTAAACAACATTGATTTTCTTTACTTTATTTTTGAGATAATCCAAAAAAATAGTTATGAGCTAGCATTTTTTAACAATTTATCTTCCAAGATGAATGATCCTTTCATTTCAAGGAGCTCAAAGTACTTGACATCCCAGTCTCATTCAGGCTTGTCTCATATCTGAACCGCTATGTCAGGGGCAAGACTGTCAAACCTCCTCTCTCAGATAAGAAGGATTCACAAAGAGGGGAAGTGAGTTGTTCAAGGTCACAGTGAGTCAATGGCAGGGCAGGCTCTTTGACTGAGGTCTCCCAACCCTCAGGCCTGCACACTGCCTTGTGCCCATGCAAAGGATACCTCAACTAGGAATGTCCCCCACATACCAGAAAAACCAACCTGAATGAACATCCTTTCTGAAGATAGAAATTACCTGAGATATTTAAGGTTCAACCAATCTCATTTTGTAGATGAGGAAACTGAGGCTTAGTGAACTCAGGCCTGGGATTCCTTGTACTACATCTTACCATCCTATCTACCCATAAAATGGTAGGCCCAGAAACAACCTACATGATTACCTGGAACCAACTAGGCTATCATCATCAGCTCCACTGTCTGGAAATATAAAGGCTCACATTGGCTTTGGCCACCAAAGAGAGGAAACATTCTGCAATCCTTAAAAACTCATGGCCGAAGGGGGTGGGGAGAACTGTTTGAGCCTTGTACTTACAAAGTCAAAAGGGAAAACATGTGTTTCACATTTGTCTTGGGATGGGAAAGAAAAACTTTTCCTTTCACTTAATCTTGGTTTAAACAAACAGAGAGACTGCCCTTTCTGTAAACTCACCGAATGTCAAATATTGTTCACTCGCATGGCATTGGCTTACTAAGCCACTACAGAGCCACTTCCCTCACGTAATCCCCTCAATCCAAAGGCACTTCAACTTGAAGAGGATCAACTGAAATAATACACATTTCCTCTGATGATTGGACAAGAGGCAGCCGATGGAATCAGGTTTCCAAACCTATAACCCCTGGTTTCAGCCGGAGACTTGAGGCAATACAGCTTCAGTCATGACTCAGGATTTTGCGAGTGAAAGCAAGCACGTCAAGTGATGTAAGAAAATTCCCCCATTCCTCCAACCCACTGGCTTCCTCCTCCCTGGAGAATTCAGTCAGACAGCATTGTGTTGGGGGTGGGGGAGAAACAGAGGTATCCTGTCACTGGGTGCTGAGCTGCCGGCACGCCTCCTATCACCATTGCCATGGCCAGCGTCATCACCATCGCGGTGGCCAGCGTCAGCGTTTGACAAAGGAAGTACTCAGTTACAATTACCTTCCTGTTGGCCAGCAGCTCAGATAATTGCTTTGCAATGTGTGTGAGAACCTCATAAATTAAACCAAGAAACAGAGGGGCCAGGTCTGGGCTGAAGGGAAGTGTCAAGTGGAGGAGGCAGTGATGCAAGGCTACCTTTGAAGTCACTTTGTTTGTGAAAAGTCTGCTGTGCTCTCTTAAGGAAACTCCACTGGAATGAGGTTTCTGTGCATGTGGGGTTTAGGGCTATTGTTTTTGGCTCTGACTTTCACCTCAAGCCCTAGCTAGGACATGTATAAATCCCATAACAACAGCCTGACATGAAATTGCTCACCCTCTCATTGCATCAGGGGACTTTTACTCAGGCGGATTTTGAATGCCTCATTGTTTAATAGGACAGGAAGTTTACTCTCAATGTAAATGAGGAATCCTTTTTCTCCCCGCCTTACCTCCTTGGAAGATTCTTACAGAGGCCTGACTTGTTGGCCCTAGTCTAGCTTCTGGTCTAGCTCCTTCCATAAAAGCAGCTGCAGCCCAGCAGCAGCCTCCCAGTTTCTTTATTAGGGTAAGGCTTTTCTTAGGACCAAAGTTTTTGGGCAGGCTTTTCCCTAGAGGGAGTGCTGGGTGATGGGTTAAGTAAGGGCCACCCAGGGACAGGGTGGGGTTGGATGTGAAAAGGGTTGGATTTTCTCTTTTCAGTTTCTTCATTCTGAACTGGACCTAGGTTTTTTTTTTAATCACAGAGAGGGAAGCCCCATCTCTAAATCTTATGATGCTTTTCTTCCTTGGGATATATCACAAGGAAAAAGTGGGTGACTAGCCCACATTTGTGGCATAAGGATAGGACTCTGAAGTCCAAATGTATCAGATTAACCAGCATGAGCAAGAGGATGCCTAATTCAGAACCATGACCCTACCCTCTGTTAGAGCAAATCTCTGAGGATAGAAACTTCTAGAAAAATCCTTGTGGGCTCCCCCACATCTCACACCACACTCTGTAGGCAAACCCTTTAAAAAAGGCACAAGTATAACCCTCTCAATCTTCTTCTGATGCCCTCAGCAACAAGATTGGCTGAGAGATCTTCAAAGGGAGAATAATCTCAGATACAATTACTTTAGTCAAAGGAAACCAGTTATGGACAACAACTAGGGAAATGACAGAGACACCAACTCAGTAAGATGAGGAAGCCCTAGTTTATTTGGTTTGTATATCCAGAATCTTTTTTCCTACACATCTGAAAAGATACCAATAATGAGTTAAAAAAAAAAAATCAAGTCAACCACTGCACATGTAGACCTAGAGATTAGTCTAAGGTTGAATTCCCATCACCATTGCCTTCCACACACAGCTTCATCAACAATGATGAAGAGTCAAGGATGGGCTGGGCAGGTGGCTCAGGTCTGTAATCCCATAACTTTGGGAGGCCAAGGTGGGTGGATCACTTGAGGTCAGGAGTTCAAGACCAGCCTAGGCAACATGGTAAAATCTGTCTCTACTAAAAATATATTAAAAAAAAAATTTAGCTGGGCATGTGGTGCACACTGGTAATCCCAGCTACTCCAGAAGCTGAGGCAGGAGAATCACTTGAACCCGGGAGGCGAAGGTTGCAGTGAGCCGAGATCGAGCCACTGCACCCCAGCCCGGGCAACACTTGCTCTGTCTCAAAAAAATAGGAAGAGTCAAGGATGATCCCTGACAGTAAATATGCTAAAGATTTATTTGTTTAAAATTGCAACATTAACCAGAGTTTTACACACTTGTATATGTGTATACGCATGTAAGTGTGTGATTGTGATTTTATTTGCACCAGGTCAGGTATAACTAAGCAAGAAGTAGCAGCCTTGCTTGTGGCCGGAGCTCTGTTCTCAGAGCTGCTTTCACATTACAGTCACCTGTAGAGATTCATCCACAACACACAGATACCTGAATGCCTGAGTGTCTCCCCCAGAGGTTCGGATTTAACTGGGCTGGCCTGGGATCTGAGCACAGATCTTTTTTTTTTTTAAAGCTCTCCAGCTGATTATAATGTGTGTCCAGGTCACCATCCACTGAACTAGGCCAGCCCCTAATGCAGTCTTCTCCCTCCACTGCTCTGTAAAATTGAGCCACATTTGCCAGCTCCTTGCACAATATCCTCTCACTTGGGCACTGGTGATTCTCTCATCTCCCTGGTCCTCATCCTCGCTTCACCCCACACTTCAGCATCTGGGATCTGGCTTCCCTGTGACTATACCATGGCAAAAAAGTTCTTCCTAAAATGGCCTCAGGTATAATTCACATTTTAAATTACTTCCTACTCAATAAAAATGATTGTATTTATAAACCATCTGGTCATTCTCATGTAATGAGGTGAGAGAAAACCAAGCGGCATCCAGTGGCACATGACTGCTTGGCTGGCCCCTTCCTCAGCAGGTCTGTGTACCAGCTTCGTACAAGGCTGGTGCAAATCCATCCTGTTGAAGGCACAAATAACTGTGTATTGGGAACCCTCAGGAACCTTTGGGGGCTGGCACAGAGCTTGGCACACCACAGGTGCTCAGCAAACTTCTGATGAAACAGAGAATATTGAGTCTGCAAATTCAGGGGGTTTCCCCAACCTAATTTTGTTCTGGAAATTCAAATGACTGGACTGAGAAAAAGTTGTCCTGGTAATTACCAAACCCCCTCTCAGAGAACGCAGCAAGTGGCAGAACTAGCCAAAGAAACGCAGGCGTGATCAGTAGATATGCACAAGCATGCTATCTTTCCTACCTCTCCCCCTTTCTTTCTCCTCCCTGAGAACAGCTTTTCATATCATTGCAGAAATAAGGTGGAGGGGCTTCCTTTCCACCCCAAAAGCAATTTGGTTGATGGGGTTTTAAGCCAGGATCTCTCTGGGTAGAAATGACGTTCTGTGCTGCTAATGATAAATGGTGAACAAGGAGATTCTCTTTAGTTTTTTAGTCTGTGTAAGCACCTAAGTGCCCCAGATTCTCAACATTTGCTGTTTTGTCTTCTCTGGGTCCTATCTTGGCCATCTCACCTCACTCTGAGCTTGCTTCTGGAAGGAGGTAACAGACGTCAACTAGCATCTGCCTGTTTATGGTGTTTTTCTGTTTTATACTCTTGAGTTAATATGTTCTAATATCTCGTTGGATGGACCTTTCCCAACCCCATCTCACCCTTCCCTTTCAGGATTTTGTTATTTTCTCTCATTCATGAGACATGAATTTTTTTCTTTCTTTTTTTTTTTTCAATTAGTCTAAGGTTGAATTCCCATCACCATTGTTTTCCACACACAGCTTCATCAGTGATGATGACGAGTCAAGGATGGCCCGGGCACGTGGCTTATGCCTGTAATCTCAGCACTTGGAGAGGCTGAGGTGGGTGGATCACTCGAGGCCAGGAGTTTGAGACCAGCCTGGCCAACATGGCAAAACCCTGTCTCTACTAAAAATGCAAAAAAATTTTAGTCCAGTGGCACGACCTCAGCTCATGGCAACCTCTGCCTCCTGGGTTCAAGTGATACTCCTGCCTCAGCCTCCCGAGTAGCTGGAATTACAGGAGACTGCTACCACGCCTGGCTAATTTTTATATTTTTAGTAGAGATGGGGTTTCACCATGTCAGCCAGGCTGGTCTCAAACTCCTGACCCCAAGAGATCCACCCGCCTAGGCCTCCCAAAGTGTTGGGATTATAGGCGTCAGCCACCATGCCCAGTCATGAATTTTCTTTTAAAAAAAAAAAATCAGTGAATCTCACTGGGGTTTTTATTGGAATCATAATGAATCAGCAAGTTAATTTGGGAGTAAACAAATTTCTAAATTGAATTTTCCCATGTAACAATGGCTATATTATTCAAATCACCTTTAAAATTTCTAAGTAAAATTGTGTAGTGTTCTTTATCAAGATCCCACATAGGTTTACTGCTATGTGATTTACGGCTTTGGGTGCTACTGTGAATAGGATATTGGAATTATGGTTCTCAATAGCTTACTGGTAAAGATGAATGCCTTGATTTTGGGGTGTTTATCTTGTGTCCAGCCATTTTTCTAAATCATTTTATTAATTTCAGTAGTTTCTTTCTGGTTTCTTTAATTTTTTAAGGGTACAACCATGTGATTGCAAAGAATAATATTTTATATTGATCAAGGGGGGTGGTGGTCCAACATATTAGTGCCCTAGGACTGCTGTCATAAAGTACCACAAACTGAGTGGCTTAAAAACAACAGAAATGTATTATTATTATTATTATTATTATTATTATTATTTTGAGACGGAGTCTGGCTCTGTCAGCCAGGCTGGAGTGCAGTGGCTCGATCTTGGCTCACTGCAACCTCTGCCTCCTGGGTTCAAGCGATTCTCCTGCTTCAGCCTCTCAGGTAGCTGGGACTACAGGTGCCCACCACCATGCCCGGCTAATTTTTGTATTTTTAGTAGAGACAAGGTTTCACCACGTTGACCAGGCTGATCTCGAACTCCTGACCTCAGGTGATCCGCCCACCTCGGCCTCCCAAAGTGCTGGGATTATAGGCGTGAGCCACCACGCCCGGCCAGAAATGTATTCTTTTACAGTTCTGAAGGCTGGAAATCTGAAATCAAGGTGTCAGCTGGGTTGGCTCCTTCTAGAGGCTCTGAGGGAGAATCTGTTCGATGCCTCTCCTAGCTTCCAGTGGTTGCTGACAATCCTTGGTGATTCTTGGCACGCAGGCCCATCACTCCAGTCTCTACCTCTGTCTTCACAAAGGTTTCTTCTCCATGTGTCTGTGTATCTCCAAATCTCTCTCTCCTTACACAGCTATCAGCCATTGCACTTAGGGCCTACTCTCCTCCAGTATAACCTCATCTTGACTTGATTACATCTACAAAGACCGGATTTCCAAATAAGGTTATATTCACAGGTACCCAGAGTTAAGACTTTTTTTTTTTTTTTTTTTTTTCCAAGACGGATTCTCGCTGTTGCCCAGGCTGGAGTGCAGTGGCGCGATCTCAGCTCACTGCAGGCTCCGCCCCGCGGGGTTCACGCCATTCTCCTGCCTCAGCCTCCCGAGTAGCTGGGACTACAGGCGCCCACCCCCTCGCCCGGCTAATTTTTGTATTTTTAGTAGAGACGGGGTTTCACTGTGTTAGCCAGGATGGTCTCGATCTCCTGACCTCATGATCCGCCCGCCTCGGCCTCCCAAAATGCTGGGATTACAGGCGTGAGCCACCGTGCCCGGCAAGTTAAGACTTTAACATACCTTTTCGGGGGACACAATCCCGCAACATCTAGTGTGTTTGTCTCTGACGAGGCTACATCTAGAAGTTGTGGTCCAGCTCATGAACCATATTTCAAGATGTACATTGAAAAAAAGCATTTGTCCTGATAAAGGTGGCCACACGGTGAAGGATCTTGCATCTGCGTGATATGAGAAATGCTACGGGAACTATGTTCAGCTTGGATCCAGGCTTTTGGAAGAGTATAATGTCCATCTTCACATGCATATGGGGCTTTCATGGTACACATAATCTGTATTGGAGGGAAGTAGATTTTGGCTCAATATAATTTTGGCTCAAGATCCAAAGGATCTTTGGATTAAGGCCATTTACTAAGGGCAGTGAACTTAAAGCAGTTGTAACTTACCTCATCCTTCACTCATCTAACAAATATGTACGAGGCCTGTTATGCTCCAGGCAGCAGGCACCAGGCCAGATGTTAGGGCAATAACAGGCATATGAAAGATACAGGCCTTGCCCTCAGGAAGCTTGCAGTCTAGCAGGCCCTGACAGGGTCCAGGCAGGCTGGGTTGGCACGTCGGTCAAATTGTTTCTTAGCTAAGGCATCATGGTCTTTATGGCCTTTGAGAGGCAATATGTAAATGAAAGTGGGGGTTTGGGGTGAGGAGTGGGAGTTGAGTGGAATGGATTTTTTTTTTTAATTTATCAGCTTACATCGGAGGAATGGATTTAAAAAAAAAAAAAGATTGAAATGAACACAAGGGCTTTCCCTGGCAGGCCACATGCAAAAAAAGTCAGCTCCTTCACACCATCACTCATGTCCAACCCTCAGTGGAGAAGTTTTATCTGCACAAGTCTCAGATTCCACTCTCCTGCTTCCCATTACAGCCTTCTCAGCCTTACCCCACCCAGCCTGAGTAACGAAGCTCAACAAACAAAACAGTAACTGCTCGGGCCAGAGCCACCTCGCTGGGAAAACAAGTTCCTCTCCCAAATCTCAGCAGACAAAATAGCCCAGGCCCTAGGTGTTTCCCCTTCTGCCTGGGACATGCAGCCAGGAAAGCAAAGCGAGAAGCTCTAAATCAAGTGTTTTCAGCCGAACCAGACCCAGGAGTAGAAGGGAGAGGCCTCCACTCTCAGCGGCTGTTCCTCCTTAATGAGCCAAAACAAAGCCGATGCCAAGGAAGTTAATCTGCCCTGAGATAGGGGAGAGCCACTCCCTGAGGTGGAGAAGGAGCTTGGGCCCAGGGCACGGTCTGGCCTAGGAGGCTGGGCCTACAGAGGTGCACACGGCCAAGATCAACCTTCCAGGTGAGAGGAGGTTCAGTCTTTCAGAAAAAGGAACCCCCTGTATGCTTGTTTGCTGCCTTTTGACCATATGAGGAGACAAATACACTATTTAAAAGATCTGTCAGCCTTACGCCTGTAATCCCAGCACTTTGGGAGGCCGAGGCGGGTGGATCATTTGAGGTCAGGAGTTTGTGACCAGCCTGGCCTATATGGCGAAACCCTGTATCTACAAAATATACAAAAATTAGCTGGGAGTGGCGGCGCATGCCTGTAGTCCCAGCTACTCAGGAGGCTGAGGCATGAGAATCGCTTGAACCCAGGAGGCAGAGGTTGCAGTGAGCCAAGATTGTACCATTGCACTCCAGCCTGGACAACAGAGCAAGACTCTGTCTCAAAAAAAAAAAAAAAAAATCTGTCATTGGTGCTTGGAAATGCCTGGCACTCAACACCAAGGAGGTCTCGAAAAACATCTGGAAGAGATCATGGGGTTCCTGCCCCCACTGTCCATCCTTCCCCTGCTTCTCTGCACAAGTGCACATAGCCTCACCCAAGCACACATGGGTACATGTGTACACATACAACAGCACACATACATTCACCCTTCCGGCACATGCATCCTCACACATGTATACGTGCATGTGCACACATACCCACATACATAAACACACTCCTATATGTGAGTATGCACACAATCCACCTTCTCACACATTCTCAAATGCACCTGTCTGCGCACACATTCTCACGCAAAACACACATGTTCTCCCTCACGCATGGCTATAAGTGCACGTGCATGCATCCTTATACACACATTCACACACAAACGTGCACTCTGTATACACACGAACCTGCACCTTACATCTTCACACATGTCCATGCGTATAGGTTAATGTACACGTTTACCCTCATACACAAGCACACACATACATGCATTTTCACACATGCATATGTGTGCACACATTGTCATAGTGCCTTCACACACATGCACACACACATGTGCATCCTCACATACATCCTCACACCTACATACCCCCCATGCCCTATACTTGGGTGAACACTCATCCTCTCATACACAAAGCCCTTTTGAGCTGATGCTTCTCCCAGAGTTAATTTGACTGTCTCCTCCATGACAAGGAGGGGCCAGTGACTGGGTCTGGTTTCCATTTGGAGCTCGCAGCCTGGCACCCAGCTTGACAGACAGATGGTAGCAAAGGCCCATAGCCCCAGGTCACCCACGGGCCCCAGAGGAGTGTTCCTGCCATCCATCCATCACCCAAGAGCCAGCACCCTGGAGTTGGATCAGTGTGGTCCTCACAGTAGCTTGGTGACCATGAATAAGTTTCACAGCCTGAGTCTTAGTTTTTCATCCAAAAAGGGTGGTTAACACTTATTTCATGGAGTTGAGAAGGCTAAGATGACAGAGGTGAAGTGGCCACACATAGTAGGTGATCAGGAAAGAGCTCTTTCAGGCGGCTGCCCTGGGCCACCAGAACTCCCTGGCCACCATTCTCCAGGGCCCCAGGCACACTGGGGTGGGAACTAATGAAATCCAAATGTGAAACTCTAGGCCTTTCATGTGGTTGCTGGTCAGAAGCACATTTGATAAGGTGTCCCGGCTGTCCTGGCCGTCCCTACATGAAGTCTGTCTAGCCAAGGCATTTCCAGGGGTCTAATGAGAAGGGAACTGTGGTTGGGTGATTTCGAAGGTGATGGGAAAGACGTTGTTTTTCATTTATAAAGCTGCCAGGGCCAGTTGGGGAAAAGCAGAGGAAAGGGAAACTACAAGAAAGTAGATCCAAAGAAACAGAACCTGAAAGAGCTCCCCAGGCTGCTGCCTAGAACATCTGGAACTAAGCTAATGGGCATGGAGGGAGAGCAGCTGCCAAGCCATCTCTTGGCACGAGCTCTGAGAGCCGCCTGAGGGAGCTGGAGCAGACGCCGTGGGACTTTTCCCCTGAGTTATTGCAGCTTCCTCCTGGAGCCGGCCCGGGGTGGCGGCTCAAACATGGAAATGTGGTCTGAATCCTCTTCCCAGCAACCGCTGCTGGGCCTCAGTTTCTCTCTGTGAGGCGGGCAGTTGAGCGAAATGAAATTATAATATTTAATTATAATATTGCGAGTGTCAGACACTGCGCTGAGTTCTGCATGTGGATCCTCTTAATCCTTAAAACAACTCCAGAGGTGGCAATGATTGCACCCACTTTACAGATAGAATAACTGGTCAGAGAGGGTGTGTGTGTGTTACCTAAGGTCACGGAGCCAGCAAGGGCACCGGGTGAGAATTTGAACCCAGAGCCACTGGCTTCCTAACCACAGCGCTCTCCTGCTGAGCAGGGACAAGTACTCATCTTCCCAGCTCTCCCTGCAGTCAGGGAGCCAGAACACCCTGGGACCGGAAACTGCTGCCTGGATGACCTCAGCCAGCTACCTCGTTTCGCAGACGGGGAAAGTGAGAACCAGAGAAGGCCGGTGACTGGCCCAAGGTCACGTTGTGTCCCATATCCTCCTCTCATTCCCGGACGTCCAGCTCCCCAACAGCCCCAGCACAGAGCTGGGGAAAAATCTTCAGAGACATCCCCTTGGGAAGACAGCTGGAAGGCAGGGCTGAGCCGGGGTCATTTGTGACCCAGCGGTGAGGTGATGAGGTACTGACGAAAGTACTGTATTTCCCCCTTTTGAGAAACGCTTTGGCATCAGATGAGTCTTGGGGGAGGGAGGAGAGGAATTTGGCAGGGATCTGGTTATAAGCCATCTGGAGGGTGGCGTGAGGACCGGAAAAGCCGCTGCCCGTTCTGTTTGGTCTCATCCCCTGAATGAGGTCACTGAATGTGCACGGGAGGCTCAGCGCTGCCCCACTCCAGCCTGATGGAGAAATCCTACCCGAAATCCCAAAGCAGGGCAGGGACATTCCCACCAGATACTTTTGCAGCCTTTGTCCTGTGGGACGAAGCAAGGGATGATGACACACTCGCCTGCCCACCCGGAAGTGAGTCTCAGGTCATTGCATCAGAAGGGTGACAACCTAACACAAGTCATTGCTAAGCAACTCTCGCGTGCTCAGTATTCACATTTTCTTGCTTCATTCTGACCACTACACTGCACAGGAGCCATTATTCTCACCCCCCGCCTCCATTTACAGATGAGGACACCGAGACCCAGAGAGTTTTTTGTTTTGTTTTGTTTTTTGAGATGGAGTCTTGCTCTGTCACCCAGGCTGGAGTGCAATGGCACGATCTCAGCTCACTGCAACCTCTGCCTCCTGGGTTCAAGAGATTCCCTTGCCTCAGCCTCCTGAGTAGCTGGGACTACAGGCACCTGCCACCACACCCAGCTAATTTTGTATTAGAGATGGGGTTTCACCATGTTGGCCAGGCTGGTCTCCAACTCCTGACCTCGTGATCCACCTGCCTCAGCCTCCCAAAGTGCTGGGATTACAGGCATGAGCCACCGCGCCTGGCCTGTTTTATTTTTTGTTTTGTTTGTTTGTTTTGTTTTGTTTTCAGAGATAGGGTCTGGCTTTGTTTTCCAGGTTAGGGTGCAGTGGTGCGACCATAGCTCACTGTAGCCTCAAACTCCTGGGCTCAAGCAATCCTCTCGCCTCAGCCTACCAGGAACTGGAACTACAAATGCATGCCACCATCCCCAGCTAATATTTTTCCTTTTTGGAAAAATGAAGTCTCACTATGTTGCCCAGGCTGGTCTCAAACTCCTGGGCTCAAGTGATCCTCCTGCAGTGCTGGGATTACAGGCATGAGCCACTCTGCCCGGCCAATCTCAGAGAGTTTTGATGAAGTTACAAAATTCTGACCATGGAGCCAGAACTCAAATCTAGGTATGTGAGGTCTGAGCCCAGGCTTCCACCAGGGCCACTGTGCTGCAACTGCCACCACTTCCTGGCACCTCAAGTGACACCCGAGCATCATTCAAGGGAAATGGCCCATATCCCGGCAATTCCCCCACCCGCCCCACTTTCTTCTCTGAATTAGGGACTTCGGCAGAGACAGAGCCCCAGCAGCCTCCACCCGTCCCCTCGTGTCGGCCTTGCTCACCCACGGATGAGTCAGTTGGAATGTTTGGACATCCCAGCTCAGCGGCTGTGGTACCAGGAGCTGTCAGGAGGCGGGAATGCAGAGAATGTGGCTCACTGTGCTCCCGCCCGCCCAGGCTGAATCCGCAGAGAGGTTTGGAAGGTGAATGACACAATGTTTGTCAAGGGTTTGGGACGACAGGTGCATGTGAAGATGAGGACAAAGACTGATTCTTTTCTTGGGGCTGCCAGCACAGTTTCGCATCCCTCCCACACATGTCCGCATTCCAGGCCCAGACACTCCGTGCCCTGGGCTCCTATGAAGGGCAAGAAACCACTGATTAGGAAGCAAGAAGAAGAAAAAGAAATGTCCCAGGCTCTTAAAAGAAAGAGTGTTTGACCTCTTTACCCAAATGCCATCCTGAAACACAGCTTTTTTGTTTTTCGTTTTTTTTTTCTTTTAGAGACAGGGTCTTGCTCTGTCACCCAGGCTGGAGTGCAGTGGCACGCTCACAGCTCACTGCAGCTTCCAACTCCTGGGCTCAAGCGATCCTCCCGCCTCAGCCTCCCAAAGCACTGGGATTACAGGCGTGAGCCACTGCACCAGGCCCTGAAACACTGCTTTGATTCTGTCTCTCTCCTACTCAGATGCCTTTGTGCAGGCCGACAATCTTTTCTGGTGTCTTCTCTGTGCGGGGCTGTGTCTGGGCACTGAGTAGACAGTAGTGAAGAAGATGATGATAGTCCTTCCCCAGGGAGTTTCCTTTCTGGAGAGAGGTTCAGATAATTAAAAAGTGAGTGCGCTCACGCCTGTAATCCCAGCACTTTGGGAGGCCAAGGCGGATGGATCACAAGGTCAGGAGTTCGAGACCAGCCTGGCCAATATGGTGAAACCCCGTCTCTACTAAAAATACAAAAATTAGCCAGCCATGATGGTGGGCACCTGTAATCCCAGCTACTCAGGAGGCTGAGACAGGAGAATCGCTTGAACTCGAGAGGCGGAGGTTGCAGTGAGCCGAGATTGCGCCATTGCACTCCAGCCTGGACGACAGAGCGAGACTCTGTCTCAAAAAAGAAAAGTGAGTGTGTGATTACAGATGAGCAGTGTGGGGGAGGAAACAAACTAGGTCTATGATGGAAATTAGGGGAATGGGGTTCCTTTAAAATGAAATCAAACTCCGAGAGCTGCGTGCTGCCTAAATGTGTCACCTCACTGCCCACTGAACACACCATATTTTTCTGCCTCACTGCCTCAGTTCCTGTAATCTCCCCATCCGGGTTCCTTTTTCCTCCCACCTTTCCAGAGTCTGTGCTGCCCACCCCGCCATCCAGAAACTTCCTTGCCCACTTAGGGCTCTGCCCTGTGGATATAAGGTCACCTTCTCATCTCTCTCCCTTCCTATGGGAAGCATAGTTATCTCATGCACCAAGGCTGCGTGAGAATTCCCTCTGACACAAGGGCCCCAGAATCTTTTATTTTGGTGCCAGGCACTGGGGAGATGCAAAATAAATAGTTCTTTAGCAAATGAGCATCCCCAGACTCTGGCTGACTGTGGAAGGTCTGGAGAATGAGCAAAGAAATCGCGTTTAAGAAATGCTCAGTGCAGGAGCCAGCCTGGACCGTGTGGATTCAGGAGGTCCACATCACATGCACGCTGTTCAGGAAGGAGGAAGGGCTAAGGGTAGGAACTGTTTGATCAGCCCCTCTTCCGGAAGCTCAGGCCCCCAGATGTTGCCTTGATTACCTATCAAAATGAGCAAATGCCAGATTCACCCAAGGCTTCGCTGACGCAGGGCACTGGAGAGAGAAAAACCACTGAGCTGATTATTTTGGCTTTATCCACCACATCTGTTTCAGCTCAGCATCTCTGCTTGTCATCTTTAAAGAGATGGCTGCAGCGTTACAGAATCTTAGAGCTGGAAATGGCCTTGGAAGTCCTCACATCTCTCCACCTCCTTTTGCAGATAAGGGTCATGTCGCTCAGAGGCTGTGACTCACCCCCGGCCACGTGGCCGGTAGGAGGCCCAGCTGGGCCCGGAAAGAGGACCGTGGTTCTCAGCTCCCAGGCCGGAGCTTTCCCCGGTTTTCCAAGCTTCCTCTTGGATCACACCAAGTCGTTTCCCCATTCGCCTCCGTTAGGCCTCACGAGTGAGAGAAGCTAGCCATGGCCCTTTCTCTCTCACTTCCCTCACTGCCCACCGCCCCCAAAAAAGGGAGAGATTCTCTTCCAGAACCAAACAGCGATGTTTTTTTTCCTCAACCGACGTCCTGTACCCTCCAAACTAGGCCCATCTCCAGGAGCACAGGCGCCTACACTCATACAGTGACTGAAAGAATGTCATCCACCCTCCCATCAACTCTGGGAACCAAGAGGCCATTTCTCAGCCACTGCACATGCCGAGGAGTCAGAGGGACTCGATTCTGCCCTGACTTGTCACACTCTCCTTGGCCAAGGCCTCCCCAAGGCATCTCAACCCCATTTTTCTGAGCCCCCCTGTTGACTGTGACCTTCCGTGCAGGCTGAGTTAGCAGGCTCTCTGGAAGGTGCTTCATGTCCATTCTGGAAGGGAGAGATTATTATCCCTACCCCCTCCCACTTTTTAGAAACAGGTATAGAAATTGAGGCTCAGCGAGGTTAAGTTACCTGGCCATGGTCACCCAGCTAGTCAGTGGTAGAGTCAGAATTCAAACCCCCACAAGGCTTCCTGTGTGCCTCAAAGGAGCTAGAGGCAGCTCAAGATGTCCCTGCATGCACGCTCAGTAACAGCACCTCAGTGCCCTGCCCGAGTGCCTGAAATCCCCTCATTGGAGTCATCTCTCAGGTGACCCCAGCCTCAGGTGGCTAGCCATTCCTTCCTGATGGAAAAGACTGAGGATGGCCAGGCACGGTGGCTGAAGTCTGTAATCCCAGCACTTTGGGAGGCCACCTGAGGTCAGGAGTTCGAGATCAGTTTGGCTAATATGGTGAAACCCCGTCTTTACTAAAAATTAAAAAATTAGCCAGGTGGCATTGGGCACCTGTAGTCCCAGCTATTCAGGAGGCTGAGGTGGGAGAATCGCTTGAACCCAGGAGGTGGAGGCTGCAGTGAGCCGAAATCACGCCACTGGACTCCAGCCTGGGTGACAGAACAAGCCTCCGTCTCAAAAACAAAAAAAGACTGAGGATAAGTGGGAGGGGAGGGTATACAAGAAGACCCTTGGCAAAGATTTGATGATCACAGGAATGGTCTGAGGCTTGACAGCAAGGCCCAGAGAGTTTGGGAGGGCTCAGGGTTGACATGCGGAGAGGAGGAGGAGGAGGAGAGAGGTCTCCAAGGCAAAGCCTGGAGGTAGGTGGGGGCAGAACATGAGGGCAGCAGCAGGAAGGTAAAATGGGTGCGGAGGACAGCAGGTTCCTCCGCTTTGAGGAATCAAAGCCCTCAGGGGCTGGCTCTGGGCAGGGATTGGTTTTGGGGCGGAAGGTGGAAGGGCCGGCGTGACTGGGAGGCATTAGTCAGCAGCGGAGCTTTATGAAAGGAGGGATTGTCCAGAGCCTCCTTACTCACCGGGCCAACTGGGTTGTCCCCAGAGCCCGGGGAGCTGGGCTGTTATCAGAAGGGGACCGGGAATTCTGTGCCGCTCACTGCCCAGGTTGAATGGCTGGGGCCACAGGGGCCAGGCGTGGGGCCCCCGTCCAGCCTCAGCGGCTGTGACTCACAGCCCTCAGCTGAGTTTCTTCATTTTCCGCTGTCCCTGGGACAGTGGGACCAGAGCCCTGGTGGGAGGCCTGACTCCCCTCTCTTGTAATAGAGGAGACCTACGGCTGATTCACAGGAGCCTGCCCCCGGCATCACCCCAGCTGACCCACTGATGCACCCCGTCTGAAATCCACGGAGTTGCAGGCATGCCTGGAAGACCCCGAGCATTTATTCATCTCTTCCTCCTTCAGTCATTCGCACAGTCATTCTTTTTATGGTTGTGTTTTTCCAATCTTTATGATTTTTTTTTCCAATGGCAAAAGTAATCTATTGAATATTAGATTCAAAAGGAATGAAATTCTGATATATGCTCCCATGTGAGTGAACTTGAGGATATTATGTTAAGTGAAATAAGCCAGACACAAAAGGACAAATACTGTGTGATTGCACTTATACGAGTCAAATTTGTAGAGACAGAAAGTAGAATAAATGTTGCCAGGGGCTGGGGAAGGGGAAAGGGAGAGTTAGTGTTTAATGGGGACAGAGTTTCACTGGGGAAGGTGGTGGTAGCGGTTGCAACATTGGGAACGTACTTAATGCCACCGAACCATACACTTAAAAATGGTTCAAATGGAACATTTAATGTCACGCGTATTTTACCGTAATAAAGAAAAACAAAAAGTGATCTATTGTTCAAACAATATATAAAAGATAAAACATAAAAGTAGATGACTGGGCTCATAATTACCCTCATTTCTCACCCTGTTACCAGTTTGGAATATCTGCTTTCGAACCTTTTAACGTCCCCACGCAATCGTGTATGTGTGGGCAAATATAGGCCCTGAGGGAGGAAGGGAATGTGATCTCCAGGTGCCAGACACATGCTCCTCATCCCTGTCTCTTTGAAGGACAATGTCATGCCTGCATCCCCAGGTGCCCAGTGGCAAGGTCGCGCATGAACAATCACCGCCATCCAGCGATGTCTTAGAGGTGTCTGGCTCGGTGCTAAGCCCTTTCACATGCATGAGCTCAATCCTTACACCAGCGTCGTGAGGAAGGTATATCTTGATGCTCACTTCAAAGTCCATTTCAAGGCCAGGTGCAGTGGCTCACCCCTGTAATCCCAGCACTTTGAGAGGCTGAGGCAGGATTGCTTGAGCCCAGGAGTTCAAGACCAGGCTGGGCAACATAGTGAGACCCTGTCTGTAAAAAATTAAAAATTAGCGGGGCATGGTGGTGGTGGTGTGCTCCTGTAGTGCCAGCTACTCAGGAGGCTGAGGTGGGAGGATCACCTGAGCCCAGGAGTTCGAGGCTACCGTGAGCCATGATCACAGCACTGCACTCCAGCCCAGGCAACAGAGTGAGACCCTGTCTCAAAAACAAAAAACAGTCCAGGCTGGGCTCAGTGGCTCACGCCTTATAATCCCAGCACTTTGAGAGGCCAAGGTGGGCGGATCACCTGAGGTCAGGAGTTCGAGACCAGCCTGGCAAACATGGTGAAACCCCGTCTCTACTAAAAATACAAAAATTAGCCAGGTGTGGTGGCATACACCTGTAATCCCAACTACTCGGGAGGCTGAAGCAGGAGAATTGCTTGAACCCGGGAGGCGGAGGTTGCAGTGAGCCGAGATCACGCCACTGCACTCCAGCCTGGGCAACAGAGCGAGACACCATCTAAAACAACAACAACAACAAAAACCCAGTCCATTTCATAAATGAAGACTCAAAGGAGGCAAAGCAGGGATGACCTGTGAGATTGTCAGGATTTGCAGAGATGCCTCTGCCATCATGTGCCCCAATCCTCAGCAGAGGGAGGCACTTGCACACTTTGTAGCAATCCCTTCATTTCTGGCTTCCCTGTTGACTGTACATTCCTAGGGAGAAGGATTATGCCAGCTTGTTCCCCGCTTGGTCCTCCACAAGCCTCGAGCACAGTAGGTGTTCAACAAATATTTGTGGAAAGAATGCTTCTCATTCATTTCTCTGTTTGATCTTCTCCCACACTCCTGTGAGGTAGCAAATTAGGCAATATGATTGCTGCTGCTGTTAGTCATCTGGTTAGCAGGCGAGATGGGGTGACTTCCTCTGGGTCACACGGCCAGGACCTGCTGAGCTGGTCTCAGGCTCCTGGCTCCCCTCCCAGGCCTTTCCAACCCTGTCATGAGGACCTTGGCTCCTGTGCTTAAAAAACAAAGATATTAATTGGGAGGAGGAAGCCTTTGAGTCATTACCAGCAACAATAATAATAATTACAATCCTTCTCCTTGTAACCTTTACCTCATGTAATCCCCACTTCCATAGCACCAGCAAGGGAGGTGCTATTATTATCTCTAATAGATTGTTCTGCAGCTAGACAGAGAGGTTGAGCAACTTCCTCAACATCACACAGCTACGAGCAACAGAGCAGAGATTCAGACCCCATCTGGTTCCAGAGCCCATAAACCACAAGTTACAAATATTGTAATCCCAAGTGGCATCCTCCACCGCACCCAGACAGACTCACAGCGCGTGTGGGCTGCGTTTGGTGAGGGAGAGGCTGAATGGAACATCCATGTATTCTCTCCTGCATTCATTCATTCACTCTCACTTAGTGAGCATTCGCTGAAACCCACCTGGGCGCCCTGCCAAGCGTCTGGCCCTAGGACACAGCAAGAGCAGGATGGTGCCCTTTCTGCCCCCAGGGAGGCTTTGGCCAGGTAGGAAAGGCAGATATCACTGTGCAATTCATTGCTTCATTAGAGCAAAGATGAGTGCCACCGGGGAGGAGGGATAAGCCTCTGTCTGCCTAAACCCAGGGTGGGGAAGGCTGCCCCTCAGAGCTGCCATCTCAGTGGCAGTTTGCGGATGGCAGGAATCAGGGAACTGAGGGTGGAGAGCGTTCCAAGCGCCTGGAATTCCATAGTCTGGGCAAAGGCTTGGATCCGACTAGGATGGAAAGATGGCCGGTGTAGTCGGAACTGGTGAGAGAGGAGGAGAGGAGTGGGGATGGGGGTTCCAGGGTAGGTGGGCCAGCACTGTCCTGCCCAGTGTCCAAACCCTCTCAGACAGAACTAAGGCTGCGGCGAATGTCTTCACTTTCACTATTATCCTTAAAGAGTAAACAGGAAGTCCAAGTTAAAAGTTCCCATTTCTGGGCCGGGTGCGGTGGCTCACGCCTGTAATCCCAGCACTTTGGGAGGCCGAGGTGGGCAGATCACGAGGTCAAGAGATCAAGACCATCCTGGCTAACACGATGAAACCCCATCTCTACTAAAAGTACAAAAAAAAAAATTTAGCCAGGCGTGGTGGTGGGCGCCTGTAGTCCCAGCTACTTGGGAGGCTGAGGCAGGAGAATGGCATGAACCTGTGAGGCAGAGCTTGCAGTGAGCCAAGATTGCGCCACTGCACTCCAGCCTGGGCAACAGAGCAAGACTCTGTCTAAAAAAAAAAAAAAAAAAAAAAAAAAAAAAATTTCCCATTTCTGCCATTTCTGGCCAGGTGCAGTGGTGCATGCCTGTAATCCCAGCACTTTAGGAGGCTGAGGCAGGAGGATTGCTTGAGTCGAGGAGTTCAAGACTAGCCTAGGCAACGTAGCAAAACCTCATATCTGCAAAAAAATTGAAAGAATTTAGCCAGGTTTGGTAGCATGCACCTGTAGTACCAGCTACTTGGGATGCTGAGGTGGGAGGATTACTTGAACCTAGGAGGTACAGGCTGAAGTGAGCCATGATTGTGCCACTGTATTCTAGCCTGGGCAACAGAGTGAGACCCCCATCTCCAAAAAAAAAAAAAGAAGTTATCATTTCTCCCCAGGTTGCTGGGCTTAGATGGGGCCTCCAGTAGGCATTTAATCCAGATGCTGCATCTGTGCTGATGTTTGCATGTGACAACGTGCTCACTGTATTGTTTGACCCTCACAGCCACCTGGAAGGAGGAAAGGAGAGCAGATGTCAGAGCCCTGTACAGAGGAGGAAACTGAGGCAAGAAAAGGCAGCATCTGAGCTCCCCGCGCTCCTTTCCTGGTGGCCTTTTCTCCACTGTAAGGTTCATTCAATAGCACCTTAGTCTCTGAGTTGCAAGGGGACATGGAGAAGGTTATATGATGTAATCCAGGTAAAGAGTCGAGCAGACAAAGGCTCAACATCAGCTTTCAGTAAACGGCGGCTGCTGTCATTGTCATGATAACCAGAGTTGTGACTCTTAGGATTCCCGTACTCGGCTTCTCCCTGACCACCTGCACTGCCATGAGTTGGGCACCAAGCCAGGAGCTAGGAGGCAGGGAGGTGTTGGAGGCATCCCCTGCTCTTAAGGAGCATACAGTGTAGCAGGGAGGCGGTAATTAGCAACCCAAGGCAGCCAGCAAAGCACCAAAGAAGGACCAGGGCTCAGGGAGTCTTTGGGGCAGGTGTGGTAGGGTATGGAAAGCAGCTTGAACCTCTGAGATGGGAACGTGGACAAGGAAGCTGCAGAAACCTCAGACGGTTTGTGGTAGGTGTTCTCTGGGGCTGGAGCAGACAGGACTGAGGCTGGTGAGTCAGTGATCATCACATTCAATGGAGTTTGAATTGTAGCTCCATCCCTCAGGATGAGCAGGCGGCCACCAGGGATCAGGTGTGAGACCCGCTGCCTGGACAGTCACAGTTGATGCTGTGGTGAAAAACTCAAGGCTAAGTCGGGCACGGTGCCTCATGCCTGTCATCTCAGCACTTTGGGAGGCTGAGGCAGGTGGATCATCTGAGGTCAGGAGTTCAAGACCAGCCTGGCCAACATGGTGAAACCCCGTCTCTACTAAAAATACAAAAATCAGCCAGGTGTGGTGGCGCATGCCTGTAATCCCAGCTTCTCGGGAGGCTGAGGCAGGAGAATCACTTGAACCCAAGAGAAAGAGGTTGCAGAGAGCCAAGATCATGCCACTGTACTCCAGTCTAGGCAACAAGAGCGAAACCCCGTCTCAAAAAAACAAAAACAGAAACAAACAAACAAACAAAAAGGCTCCACCTTTCCATGAAGCTGTCAACCAGTGCAGCAGATCCTTCTTAACCATAGTATTTATTTGGAATTTTTTTCTAATTGCAGATGTAAATTGTGCAGAATGCAGAAAGGTAGGACTCACCTGTGCATGCGTGTGTGCCTCTATGCACACACACACACACACACACACACACACAACGGGAGGAAAAGCCAAGATCATTTATAGCTCACTACCCTGGGTAGCCCTGGTTAACCCCTCAGAGTACCTCCCTCCAGTCTTTCATTTATTCCCTGAAGGGGTTGATTCCAAGTGCTGTAAGATAGGGAAACCCAGGGAGGTGATGGGGACCAGGGAAGTCGGGATGGCCTTGGGGAGAAGGTGAGATTCAGACTCAGTCTTAAAAGAGGGGCCAGTTTGAAAAGACCAAGGTAGAAGAAGAGGAATTCCAGACGAGGGGACCAGCACGGCTAAGGCACACAGTTGGGGAAATCAATGAGGAACATGATCATTTATGGAGCACTTACCCACAGGCCAGCCTCTGATATGCAACACATGTGTTACCTGGCTGGGTGTGGAGGCTCATGCCTGTAATCTCAGCACTTTGGGAGGCCGAGGCAGGAGGATCGCTTGAGTCCAGGAGTTCAAGACCAGCCTGGGCAACATAACAAGATCCCAACTCTACAAAAAAATTTTAAAAATTAGCCAGGTGTGGTGGCATGGGTCTGTAATCCCAGCTACTCAGGCGGCTAAGGTGGGAGGATCACTTGAGCCCAGGAGGTTGAGGCTGCAGTGAGCCATAATTGTGCCACTGCACTCCAGCCTGGGCAACAGAGTGAGACCCTGTTTCAAAAACCAAAAAACCAAAAACCTTATGTTACGTGACTGGATTGGACAACCCATGGGGTGGAGACAAGAATAGCCTCATTTCAGGGTGAGGAAACTGAGACACTCACACCCCTTAGCCATTCTGTGGCTGTGGTTCAGAACCAGGACTGGCTCACACCCAAGTTAAGTGGGGGCTGCCTAGAATGGGGACTGGTTGTTGGGGATTGGGACCCCCTGAGTTCCAGTGGCCTGGGCGCTCGGAGTGTCTGTCCTTCTGAGGAAGGGGACGGAGCATCAGGAGCCAGGACAGTAAGGGAAGTGTGAAGGAGGAGGGTGTGAGGGGACGTCACCTGCTCCCCTCCCGTGCCAAAGAGGCTTTATCAGGGCATTGCAGACCCTGCCAATCGCCACTGCTCATCTGAAGCTGGGCTTCTCTGAGTATGGGCCTGCTGTCCTCGAGACAAGAGATAAGGCAGCCCCAGTCAACAGGCCTCTAAATGTTGGTGACCAAGCAGAAGCCACACAAGGCTGATGGCCGGCTGGAAGGGAGGCCTCGCCAGCATCTTCTTCTGCCCACCTCCCCTGGCCACTCCGGGTTGGGGAGGTAGGGGTGGGGGAAGGGCAGACCCAGGTAAGAAAAACAGCAATAAGAAAGATTTTTAAAACCCCACACATGGCTGGGCATGATGGCTCACGCCTGTAATCCCAGCACTTTGGGAAGCCAAGGCAGGTGGATCTCTTGAGGTCAGGAATTCAAGACCAGCCTGGCCAACATGGTAAAACCCTGTCTCTACTAAAAATACAAAAAATTAACCGGAAGTGGTGGCGAGCGCCTGCAATCCCAGCTGCTCGGGAGGCTGAGGCAGGAGAATTGCTTGAATCTGGGAAGCAGAGGTTACAGTGATCTGATATCACGCCACTGGACTCCAGCCTAGGTGACAGAGTGAGACTGTCTCAAAAAAATAAAAAATAAACATAAATAAAAATAAAATCCTGCACGTTTCCGCCATGCCTTTGGTTCACAAAGTGCTTTGACTCTCATTATCAGTGTGAAAAGGAAACGTGGGGGCCTCAGAGCCAGCCTGAGGTCCAGGCCTCACATCACCACTTTCTGGCTGTGTGACTATGGGCAGGTGACTTCACTCACCTCTCTGAGCCTCAATTTCCTCACCTGTAAAATGGCAACAGTAACACCATCTCCCCTCTTCTGAGCTCAGTGTCCAGCCAGCCTGTGGCCACTTTCCTCCTGGTCCTCTTCCCTCCCCACTGGCCTCCTCCTTTCTCCAGAGGGCACCACCTTTGCCCTGCGCCAGACAGCCAGGCCCTTGCCAGGCCAAGAGTTGAGTCAGACTTCAGTTCACCAACATGCTGCCGGGGTGGACGAGCCTGGACAGCCAGAGGAATCTTGTCCCGGCTCCCATACGGCAGCCAGTGCTTTGTCAGGCCCAGGGCGGGTGGGTGAGAGGGAGACAGGGAGGGGAGGAGGGGAGCCCCCGACGGGAAGGCTCTGATTCTGCCAGTGAAGGTTTTTGTTCTCTGGAATGCCAGGCCAGGGCAGTCAGCTCTGCCAACAAGAAGACTGGCCTCCAACAATAATGTTTTTCCCTGGGTTTTCTAGAATGCATCAGCTGCTTTCTAATTTGAACCATCAGGAGAAAGCTCATATGTGCTGAGTCTCAGAACAGCCGTATAAAGAAAACTGCTCCCCAGGCTTAACAGGAGCTGGCCTCTGAGGGACTTTGGCCAAGGGGCCCCTGAACAGGAGGCTGGGAGTGCCTCCCCGGGTACCTTCCCGTCCAGCCCAGGCCCTCGGTTGGCATCCTCCCCGGGGCACACCAGCCACTGTTCTCTCCACCTACACCCAGGAGGGCCGGCTGGGCGCCAGAGCCCATGCGAGGCTCTCGGCACGACCATTGTCACTGTTACTGGGGTTCACGTGGATGATCACGTGCTGCAGGCCAGCAACATGCTGAGTACTTCACATTTCATATCCATCTACCGGAGTCGCACTCCACAGAAGAGAGTGGCAAGACCCGCAGAGAGGAAAGGACCTTGCCCAAAGTCCCCCAGCACTGAAGAGCTGGGCTTCCAGCCCCAGGTCTGCCTTGACAGTTCCATAGCCAGGCCTCACCCCCTGCAAATAAAAGAATTAAGACTCACCACTTCTAGGCCAGGCACAGTGGCTCACACCTGTAATCCCAGCACTTTGGGAGGCTGAGGAGGGCGGATCACCTGAGGTCAGGAGTTCAAGACCAGCCTGGCCAAAATGGTGAAATCTTGTCTCTACTAAAAATACAAAAATTAGCCAGGTGTGGTGGCACACCTCCGTAATCCCAGCTACTCGGGAGACTGAGGCAGGAGAATCACTTGAACCTGGGAGGCAGAGGTTGCAGTGAGCCGAGATAGCACCATTGCACTCCAGCATGGGTGACAGAGAGAGACTCCGTCTCAAAAAAATAAATAAATAAAAAGACTCACCACTTTGTACCTACTAGGTGTGGCTAGAATCAAAAAATCACATAAGGCCAGGCATGGTAGTATATGCCTGTAATCCCAGCACTTTGAGAGGCTGAGGTAGGAGGATGTCTTGAGGCCAGGAGTTCAAGACCAGCCTGGGCAATGTAGCAAGACCCCCTTCTCTAAAAAATAAATAAATAAATAAAAGAAATAATAAAGTCACATAATGCGAGAGATAGCCAGGATGTGGAGAAACCAGAACCTCTGTCCACTGCTGGTGGGAATGCGGAATGGCACAGCCACTGCGGAACAGCCTGTTAGTTCCTCAAGTAATTAGACAGAGTTGTCACGTGACCCAGCAATCTCACTCCTCCATATGCACCTGAGAGAAAGGAAAACGCAGGCACACACAAAGACAGGAACATGAATGTTCATAGCAGCATTATTCATAACAGGCAAAATGTGGAAACTACCCACATGGAAAAACAAAATGTAGAATATCCATACAGTGGAATGTTATTCAGCCATAAAATGGAATGAAGTCCCACCCATGCTACAACATGCATGAACTTTGCAAACACTATGCGGGTGAAAGAAGCCAGTCCCTACAGGCTACATGTGGTAATTCCATATAGATATTCCGTGTATGAAATATCTAGGATAGGAAAATTCATAGAAACAAAGATCAGTGGTTTCTCGTGGTTGGGGGTGAGCATGGGGGGTGATAGCCAAAGGGTATAGGTTCTTTCTTTCTTTCTTTCTTTTTCTTTCTTTCTTCTTTCTTCCTTCCTTCCTCTCTCTCTTTCTTTCCCTCTCTCTCTTCTTTCTTTCTCTCTCCTTTTCTTTCTTTCTCTCTCCTTTTCTTTCTTTCTCTCTTTCCCTCTCTCTCTTTCTTCTTTCTTTCTTCCTTCCATCCTTCCTTCCTCTCTTTCTTTCCCTCTCTCTCTTTCTTTCCACCCTCTCTCTTTCTTTCTTTCCTTCCTTCCTCTTTCTTTCTCTCTTTCCCTCTCTCTCTCCTTTCTTTCTTTTTCTTTCTTTCTTTTTCTTTCTTTCTTCTTCTTTCTCTCTCTCTCTCCTTCCTCCCTCCCTTCCTTCCTTCCTTTCTTCCTTCCTTCCTTTCTCTCTCTCTCTCTGTCTGTCTGTCTGTCTCTCTCTCTCTCTCTCTTTTTTTCTTCCTTCCAGGGCCTTATTCTGTCACCCAGGCTGAGTGCAGTGGTGCAATCATAGCTCACTGCAGCCTCCACCTCCTAGCCTTAAGACATCCTCCCACCTCAGCCTCCTGAGTAGCTGGAGTCACAGGAACACACCACCATGCCAGGCTAGTTTGTTTTTTTTTTTCTTTTTGTAGAGATGGGGGTCTTGCTATGTTGCCCAGGCTGGTCTTGAACTCCTGGGCTAAAGCCATCCTCTTCCTTAGCCTCCCAAAGTGTTGGGAGTACAGGCGTGAGCACCTGGCCCAAGCTCTCTTTTTGCAGTGGTAAGAATGTTCTAAAATTGACTGTGGTTGCAAATATCAGTGAATACACTAAAAACCACTGAATTCTGCACTTTAAATGGGTGAATTTTACAGTGTGTGAATTCTCTCTCAATAAAGCTGTTGAAAAAAGAAAAGTGTGAAGGTGCAGGCTTTGAGAAACTCACAGGTCGGGGAGGATAGAGAAGTAAACGATTCCTGTCATAATACAGCAGGCACAGGCGGGGCACAGGGAGACGACCTGGTGAGCGGGGCTGGCTGAGGACAGGTGTCTGAGCTCAGGAGTGAAAATAAGTTTTCCACAAGAGGCCATGTTAGTACAGTGCTATGGGAAGAGAGGGGGACACCTCTCAGCCTAGGGAGCTTGGGTGAAGGGAGAGGCAATCCAGGAAGGCTTCCTAGAGCAGGTGCCATTGGGCTGAGTCCTGAAAAATGAGTCAGGCAAGAAAGCAAGAGGCAGAAGAAGATGTCACAGGTGAAAAGGGTGGAAGCCTACTCAGGGAATGTTCTGGGTGGAGGTTGGGGTGTGACAGGGAGGAGAATCCTGCCTGGTGTCCTGGGAAGGACAGTCCCCCGACATCTACCTCTACCCCCTGTGTTTCTTCAAGCAAGCCCTTGCCCCTCTCTGGGCCTGGGTTCTAACAAAAGCCCTTCCATCTCTGAGGCTGAGAGTCTCTGGGGCTCAGGTTGGAGTGATGAGGGCAAAGGGAGGGCAGACGGGGAATCAGGAGGAGGGGATGTCGTCGGGTGTCAGGGCCTGGAGACAGAGGGACCGAGGCTTCTATGGCCTTCGTGGCCACAGAGCCGGACCTGCTGCCCAGGGGCCACGTCCCCGCTACCCTCAGGCCTCCCCAGGAAACAGAAGTGCCTGGGGAGGAATCGAAACAGAAACACAGGTGTCTCTCCCTGGGCAGATTCCAAGAAAAAAAAAGAAAGTGGCCTCTAGAGAAGAGAACTTGTGAGCTTTGAAGGGAGGAAGGAAACCCAAGCCGCGAGAGGAAGCGAGAGAGGAGGGTAGGTGTGAGAGAGAAGCAGGTGCCCCAGGCGCAGGCCACACCGGCCACGGCCCACGGCCATGCCACCAGTCAGGCTTGTGGAACCCAACCGCAGGCAGCTTTGAGGGGGCACAAGAAGTGTGTGGAGGAGGAGCGGGCCCTGATGACGGTCCCCAGTGGTGCCACCAGCTTCCTGTCTCCTCGGCCCTGATACTCTCTTGGTCTCCCCAAGTCACCGTGGCCCTGGCACTAATGAGTCCTGAATTTGGAGTCATGGGGTCTCCTTTTGGCTTTTTGGAGAGTTCAGCCTTTTGGCCCCACCATGTGTGATTTGCAGTCTCTGAGCCTCAGTTTGCTTGTCTGTAAAATGGGGACCGCCAGTGCTGCTCTCCCTCTGCCGTCGGGGAGCACAGAGTGTGCACTGGAGGAAGACAAAGCAATGTGCATGAAAACACCTGGCCATGCAGACCTAAGGGATGGGAGGATCGTGGGCATGATGATATTAACCTCTTGTATGGTGATGGTATCCATTTCTTGGATGGTGAGGATATCAACCTCTTCGTGCAGTGTTTTCACCTTTCTGAAGCATCTTCTCATTACTTACCTCCTCTGAGCCTCACAGTGCCGAGTGCAAAAGGCCAGGTGGGTGTCCTTATACCCATTTGACAGGAGATAAAACTGAGGCTTGGAGAAGCAGCATCACGGAGCAGGCAGGAGAACCATGGGGATGTTGGGCTCCTGGGGCCTGGACATCACCACCCACCTCTTTGCTTTCCTCTGGCCCCGTTGGCTGCCAAGCTGGGGTAATTGGGGTCCTTGTGCTTTTCACACAGGTAGAGACCACCCCGACACCCCAAGCCAAACTTCCTGGGTCACATGGAGGGTGTTCAGGCTGGAGCAGGAAAGATTCACAAACACACCATCAAATATTTGAAAGCCTTTTAGGTAGAAGCTGAATTAGGCTAGTTCCGGGTGGTCCCAAGGGTAGAACAAGGACAAATGCCCTAGGAGGTTATAGGAACATGGAGAAGGGATTCAGTTCGTTATGGAAAAGAGCATTCTGAATACACTGAGCCAGTTACAGATAGAACATGTTGCCTGCAGGGTGGTGAGCTCCCCATCACTGGGGGCATTCAAGTGCAGGCCTGACAACCAGGTGGCAGAAGAGGTAGTGCAGAGGGGAGCAGATTCTATGAGGGAGGTTACCCTAGCACCGGGCTTCTCAACCTCAGCATGATCCACACTCTTGGAGGTGGGGGCTGCCCTTGGCATTGTAGGATATTCAGCCGCATCCCTGCTGTCTACAGCCAGTTGCCAGCAGCATCCCCAACTGTGACAGCCAAAAATGTTTCCAGACATTGTCAAGTGTGCCCTGGGGCAGAATTGCCCCCAGTTAAGAAGTTCTGGCTTAGATGACCTTTAAGACCCCCTGAGATCCTAGGATTCTGTCATTCTACACGAGGAACCACAAGAGTCACTGTCATTTTTTGAGCCCGTGTGGACTGCATGCTGCTAAGAGTCTTGGACACATCATGCCCTTTAATGTTGTAACTGCCTGGGTTGGTACCTCTTCTTACATAACCTCTCCCACTCCTCGGCTGTGTTTATTCCAACTCCTTACATCCCGGATGGCGTCCCTCCCACCCGCTGCAGGCCCTCCCTTCATCCTTCCCCCACCCATCCCATTCACACCCCATCTTTTATTATATTCCAGCACCTCTGTGCTCCCCTAAATAGCACCGTGTCTAGGGTCTCCATGTCCGTCTTCCCACTGGACGCTGGGCTCTTGGAGGGCCAGTTGGCTCTTGTTCAACTCTGGATCCCCACATAGTAGGGATTCACCACACATGTACTAAGGGACTGAGGACTGAGGCAGACACATCGGCTCAGGGGTATCCGTGAACCAGCCCTGGTCAGCTGGGGCTGCCTGACTCTGCAGCCCTCGAGTCCCCTGAATGCACCCCTGGGAAGCAGCCCGCTGTCCGGCTCCTCCGTGCACAGGTCTCTAACCCAGAGAGAGGCCCACAGTGTCCACCGGAAGGACGAGGGGCAGGACGTGTGGGCAGGAGCCTCCCCTGTAGGAGGAAATGACCTGGATAATGAGGGTGACCACAGCCTCGTTCATGAAACCCCAGATACCCGACCTGGTCTCTGTCTTCAAAGCCAGAAGGAGGACGCTTTAGGGGAAACAAGGGAAGTCCCACGGGGAAATGGTCAGGCGGAGGGCGTTCCTGTTAACTGAATATTCTGATTAAGTGGGAGCCATAGCATGGGCTGGCAGGAAGCCCACCGCCCTTTGTGGGGCTGTCTTTGTGGGGTTTCTTTCGTAGAGCGATGAAGATTTGAACTATGTTGGCAGTTTCCAAGCTTTCCGGGTGTTTTTATTTTGGTTTTAGCAGAAGAAGTCCCTACTTCTTAAAGGAAAATCTCATGTAATATCCCATATGTAAAACCCCATCCCAAGGCCAGGAGTGGTGGCTCATGCCTGTAATCCCAGCACTTTGGGAGGCCAAGGCAGGTGGATCACTTGAGTCCAAGAGTTCGAGACCAGCCATGGGTAGCATGGTGAGACTCCATCTATACAAAAAGTAAATACAAAAATTAGCAGAGTGCAGTGTGTGTGTCTATAGTCCCAGCTACTCCGGAGGCTCAGGTGGGAGGATTGTCTGAGCCCAGGAGGCAGAGTTTGCTGAGATTGTGGCACTGCACTCCAGCCTGGGTGACAGAGCAATTCTCTGTCCCAAAGAACAATAAAAAAAAAACCCTTCCCAAAGTGGCTCTGAGTCACCTGCCAGCCCCACAGAGATCCTCAGAGCCTGGTTAGAAACTCCCAAGGTTTCTCTGAGGTCCTCCTGGCTGCCGTGATCTGCGATTCTGTAACTGACCCCACCTAATGGTGAGGCGCATCCCAGCTTTACAGGATGCCCTCAGGGCTCTGCAAGGTTGCCGGTGAGAGCTGTGACTCGGGCTATCCTCGAACATGCTGAGATGGAAAATTCTGGTCATCCGAGTATTCTGTTTATTTCTGTGGGTCCCTTGGTAAACAGGAATTTACAGTACCCAGCAAAGATAAACTTATGGAACTCATTACCCCAGAAAGGGTTACAGACCAGGGACATGAGCACACCCGGTCAGACCCTGCGGTGTTTGGATGACAGAGCCCTGAATGGAGACACCCCAGGTCTGGTCCCAGCCTGACAGCAGTGGCCACAGCCTCAGGAGAGCCACTGTCACAAGGCCGGAGCTCTGAAAAGACTCACAAGCATTTTCTCATCGCTTTGAGGTTTACCATGCATTCCTTTCCTTTTTT